>NW_003571061.2:213632-361078 GCF_000001405.40 Homo sapiens
GAATTCCTCAAGAGTTAGTGTTTGCTGGCCTCCAAGAGGCAAGGATCTCTGGGAACTTAAGACAGAGAAGCACTTCACACTCACCCATGAGCTCTTTTCCGTGGGTCTCAACTGGGCATTCACAACATAGATTGGAAGTAAGGTGGAGACCCAAAATTTGTGATCAGACATGATTACCTTCCACAGTGTGTGGCCTGAAATCTCACCCCCCTCTGGACGTCCTAGATTGTCCTCCAGAGCCTTCTGGGATCATCAGATCTGTCCCTGAGGCTCCACCACGCTGAAGGGTGCATTGTCCTCTCCGCTGTTCACCTCCCGGCTGCATCTTGGGGGTTTCTCTGGCTGTGCTGAGCCTCAAATAACAGAATCCCGAGGAACAGCAGGACCAAGCCTGCCATGCCCATGCGGATGAGATTCTCCACTGTGTAATCCTTGGCGTGTGAGGCTGGGGATGGTGGGCAAAGAGGTCACAGAGGTCCGGGCAGATCAACTTCACCCAGGACCCCTGGATGCCCAACCCAGGGCACCCCCCATCCGCCATTGACAGAACCTGACCCTCTGTGCCCGCCCCATAACTGTCTGACTTGTTTTGTGATGGGGTGAGGGTCTCAGCTCCTCCTGAGAATCAAAACAGAAGGGGAGAGCCCTGAGCCAGCCTCTCCCCTGGGCTCTGCGTTCTTATTCTTCCAGGCCTCATGACGTGGCTTTTACGGAGTTCCTCAATAAACCCTCCCTCTCCTGCAGCAGGGCTCCCTCCAGTCTCCTCATGAAACTATTTCAGTTTTCCTGTGTTCTATGAATTTCAACGCTGCTCCTGAGCCATTTCCTCCCTCCCATGGGCTGGATTCTCCACCTTCACTCCCTTCTTTCCTAGTGTCCCAGAGCTCTCCTGGGTGCAGAGCCTGAGCTGAGCATTTGAGCTCAGAGAGGACAGGGTCAGGGCCCTCACCTGAGACCACGAGCTCCAGGGAGTCACTGGCCTGACCCTGGGGGGTTGAGGGGCTGGTCCTCAGGACCTCCTGGGTCAGGACAGGGAGGTGAAGCCTGGGGCTACCTTGCTCCCCACATCAGCCCGGCTCCTCCTCCTGGCTGGGCCCCAACATCTCTCTCTGCCTTGAACCCCCCACTCTTCACCAGCCCAGCCTCAGAGCCCCTGGGACACAAGCCCGTCCTTGAGGGGAGGGGAGTGGGATCCTTTGGGAGACTCAGACTGCCCTGGGGGAGGCCGCGCTCCCCACGAGGCCTCAGTGACTCACCAGGTGTGGAGGGCGGCCCTGTGGGTGGGAGGCTGGAGCCTCCAGAGTGTCCTGGAAGGAGCACGGGAGGCGGGTGAGGGGCGGGGGCCGTCCATGGAGTGCACCCTTCCACTCCCACTCTCCTGCTTCCGCCCAGTGGATTCCCTGGAACCATCTCTCTGCCCACCTGGTGCCTTCTGCATGCCAGGCAGGGGAGAACGGGTGGCCACGCCTAGGAGAACCCCTGTTGGCCTCCTCCCCTCTGAGGGCTGGGTGCCCTCTGGCTAAGCCTCCCTCACAGCCTCCCTCGGTCCATCCCAGCCGAGAGCTCTCCTGGGGGCCTGGGCCTGAGCTGAGCCTTTGAGCTCAGAGAGGACGGGGTCAGCGCCCTCACCTGAGACCATGAGTTCCAGGGGCTCACTGGGGAAAGACAGCAGGTGGGGGTTGGAGCTGTATGAGCCGTAGCACCTGTAGGTCCCCGCGTGGGCTGAGGTCACAGGACTCATGGGGAATTCAGCCTGGTACTTATGAGCTCCGTACATTGATCTCAGACGCAGTGGGGGATGGGCTGCCCCTTCTTTGGTCAGAAGGAAAGTGTCAAACTGCCACCATGACTGACACAGCAGGGTCACGTTCTCTCCTGAGGCCACTGTGGGGCCCGGCTGTGCTGACAGGGAGACGGTGTCATAGATCTGTCCTGGAGAGAAGAAGGATGGGTGAGGGGCTGCCCCACCTTGCTCTGAGCTGACACCTCCCCAGGCCTCTCCCTGGGACCCTCAGTGTCTCTGTCTCTGTTTTCTCTGAGTCTCGCCTCCCCGCCCATCCCCTGTCTCTGTCTGTCTCTCCCTCCCTTGGGACCCCCACCCCTCATCCCGGCCATCACCACCTGGGCTCCCCCGGCAGGGCCTGTGCAGAGCCTGGGTCCCTGACTGAACCCGCTGGGCTCCTCACCTGCCATCAGGATGTTCAGGGGGTCGCTGGGGGCCGACCACTCGGAGGAGAGGTTGTGTGCACCATAGCACCTGTACTGGCCCCCGTGGGAGGGGCTCACAGGGCCCAGGGTGAAGTTGGCCTGGGAGAGCCCAGCCTGGGGCTGCTGGCCAGGGCGCTGGAGGAAGTCACGTTCCCCCTCCTTATACAGAACAAATCTGTCGTAGCCGACATCAGAGCCACACTGGAGGGTCAGGCTCTGCCCAGGGGCCAGGACAGGGCCCTGCAGGGTCAGGAGGGAGGGCTTCCTAGACACGCCTGGAGGGAAAGAGGAGCCAGGACTGAGAGGGCTGGTTCCTCCCACGCCCCTTCCTTCTCCCGTCCTGGCCCTGCAGGTCTCACTGTCTCTCATGCTCTGAGTCTCTGACCCCAGGGCCTCCTTCTCACCCGGGGCTGTCTTGGAGTCATTTCAGAGGAGTGGGGTCTCCCTAGCCCTGGCCACTGTGCCTGATCTTTCCTCCTCTCCCTGAGAGCTGGGACCTCACAGCAAACACACCGATGCCTTCCTGAGTCCTCCCCGTTCAGGTGAGCGTGGCTGAGGGCTCCTCCTCCCATGTCAGAGCCTCCCCATGGGGTCTCCCTCATGCCTTCAGCCCGTCCTTCAACACATCACTCTGGGTCCTTTCCAGATTCAGTCACCAGCCAAACTCCCCACAACCTGTCAGCTGCCCCGAAAGTGTGTTAGACAAGGCCGTGGCTCCCTCACCTGAGGGCAGAATCTCCAGGGGGTCACTGGGGTGGGACCACACCCGGGGGGTGTTCATATAATAGTAATAGCATGTGAACCTCCACCTGTGGCTGGGGTTCACGGGGCCCACAGGGAACAGGGCCTGGAACCCCCCACTGTGGAGCTGCTGTGAGTCCAGGGTCCGGGGGAGCTGGTGTTCTCCTTCCTTCATCAGAACAAAATGGTGATATCCCTTCTGTGAGCCACATTGGAGGGTCATATTCCCCCCTGAGGCCACCACAGGGCTGGGCAGGGCTGAGAGGGTGGGTTTGCTATAGGCTCCTAGGAGAGAAAGAGGCACCATGTTAAATGGGGCTCCCACCTCCCACATCATCCCCAGGGCTGGGCTGTGAGAGGGAGACACCCCTGAGAGCCGACCCCCTTCCTGAGGGCAGAGCCTGGGGCTGGGACCCCAGAGTGTCCTCTCACCTGTCATCACCAGCTCCAGGGGGTCGCTGGGCTCTGACCAGCCTGCAGAGCTGTAATAGTGGCAGCGGTATCTCCCCGCATGGTGCTCTGTTATGGATGGGATGGAGAATCTGGCCTTGTTCTTGGGTTCCAGTGGGTTATTTCTGTCCCAGGGCTCTGGGCTTCCCTCTTTATCCAGTCGGTACTCCTGGGCCTCCAGGCTCCCCTGACACCAGATGGTCACGGGGCTCCCCCAGCTGATCACAGAGCCTGGCTCAGCCCAGAGGGTGGGTTTGGGGAAGGGCCCTAGATGGAAATCAGAGGCTGGATCCCAAGACATCCCCACGCTCAGATCCCAGCTCCCAGCCCCAGGACTTCCTCATCATCCCCATCAGTCACCCAGAACTACTGTCTCCTCCCCACCCAGAACTGCTGTCTCCTCCCCCAGCTGCCCATGTGTGGCCCTTGTCCCTAGTAAGGATGAGGGACCTGGGACAGCTGGGGACAGACTCACCTGCCTGCACGTGGGTCCTGGGGCCCAGACTCAGCCCTGGAAGAGAATTCCCTGTGAGGCATTTGCCCTGAAGCCTGAGCAGGTCCTCCCCGCCCTGGTGCCTCCTGAGCTTTTGAGGTCTCCTGATGGACCAGGGCTTGTGTGTGGGGTGGGGTTCCTCCAAGACTCAGATCTCCCCCTCCCCATCTTGAAATCTCACCTAGGCAGAGCAGGGCTGCGAGGGTGGGGGTCATGGCGTCTCCTCCTGGTGACCCCGGGCTCTGCAGAGGGATGAGCCCTCAGTGCTGGCAGGACAGAGAGACACACAGGGTGTGGCCGCTCGGAGGCTGGGTCCTTCTTGTCATGGGGTTGTCTCATCCTCAGCCCACAGGAAGAGGAACTGCCACCCCAGGAACCTGGCTCTGATTTCCCCAGGGCTGAAGTGGGGGCAGGCACCAGGCTCTCTGCAGGCATTTCAGAGAGAAATGGGGTCTCCCTGCCCCCGGGCCACTGTCTGCCTGATTTATCTTTATCTCACTGAGGACGGGGACACAGCCGCAAATAGACCTGGTGCCTTCCTGAGTCAGCCCCTTTCAGGCGAGGGTGACCGTGGGCTCCTCCTCCCTCTCAGAGCCTCCCCATGGGGTCTCCCTCCCTCCTTCAGCTCGTCCATCAGTTCAGCGTTACGGGGTCCTTACCATGGCAGTCGTCTCTCCAGCCCTGGAGATGCTTCAGGGAAGACCCAGGTCCATGCTGCAGGCAGACTCAGATCAGCAGAGACGCACCTGACACCTGGCTGTGTAGTCCAGGCTGAGCTGCGTGTAGCAGTGAGCACAGAGAAATGCAGGGTCTACCGTGGTGGCTCATGCCTGGAATCCCAGTACTTCAGGAGGCTGTGGCGGGTGATGGCTTGAGGCCAGGAGCTTCAGACAGTCCTGGGAAACAGACTGTGACCCTGTTTCTACAGAAAAGAAAAAAGTGAGCTGGGCATGGAGGCTCATGCCTGTGGTCCCAGCTACTCAGGAGGCTGAGGTGGGAGGATCACTTGGGCCCGGGAGGCGGAGGCTTCAGGGAGCTATGATCACCCCTTGGCCTTCCAGCCTGGGCGACAGAGCAAGATCCTGTCTAAAAAGGAGAAATAGAGGGGATAAAGAGAAATATATATATATATGTTTCATTGTAATCTATAATCTGATTCTGGGGAAGGTGAGCTGATTTGTATTTAATTCCTGATTATCATCTAGGGTTTATGTGACTTTGGACATGAATGTCACCTCTGAGCCTGCTGTCATGAACCCCACTCATCACAGTGGCTGTGGGGGTCAGTGGTGCCCAGGACATGGGAGGCTCAGCCATGGTGAATTTCCAGACCAGTTCAGACAGGAGGGTGGGGACGGGAGAGGATCCTGGTGCTGGGCTTCACAGTCGAGGAGGATGATTGACGCCCCCACTCAAGAGCCCACATCGGCTCCAAATACCATGAAATTCTCCTTGTGATACGTCTGAAATATGCAGATCATCACAGCCACAGGCAGAGAAAGAGGAAAAACAGTTCCTCACATTGAGACGCATCCCCTTCCATGAGCAGAGTTCAATGCTGAGTGGCCACAGGTGTCTGGGACCACCGAGCGTCATTAGGGAGGAGGAGGCTCCCACCTCCATGTGGGACAGAAGAGGAACCCCACGTCCTCCCAGGCAGGGAGGGGTCAGGGCTCTGGGTGAGGCTGGAAGCGGTGGCTCCCCCTCCCCTGTGTGTGTGGACAGGCGCTGGGGGGTCTCTGCTCACTCACTGGAGGCCACGGTCAGCGCTCAGCCCCTCCCCTGTGTGTGAGAAACAGATTCAATCCACGGTGGTCAGACATGGGCGTCTGCCCCACAGGTGAGTGTGAGGCTGGCGTTGGTCCCATCCCTGCTGGGCACAATCTTGAGCTGACACTGAGTTTGGGGGAGTGGGGCAGGAGCAGCGGCAACAATCCCCTTCATCAGGCTGATGCCTGGACAGCCGTGGGAGAAACCCTTTATGAAAGGCCGGGTGCGTGGGAGGAGCTGTCCCACAGGAATGACAACCAAGATACGTGAGGAAAACACAGACAGTTGTTGAAATGCATTAGACAGACGTCGTGAAGGTGAAAAATAGTAAATTGAATTAATACCATCGAAAAGTAATTTAATAAATATATACACCTACTATGTAGCCATAAAGTGAAAAATTTGACCGGGCGTGGTAGCTCATGCCTGTAATCCCAGCACTTTGGGAGGCCGAGGTGGGCGGATGACCTGAGGTCAGGAGTTTGAGACCAGCGTGGCCAATATGGTGAAACCCTATCTCTCCTAAAAATACAAAAACAATTAGCTGGGTATGGTGGTGCACGCCTGTAATCCCAGCTACTCGGGAGGCTGAGGCAGGAGAATCGCTGGAACCCAGGAGGCGGACATTGCAGTGAGCTGAGATGGCACCACTGCACTCCAGCCTGGGCCACACAGCAAGACTCTGTCTCAAAAAAAAAAAAAAAAAAAAAGAAAAAGAAAAAGAAAAAAAGAAAGTAAACAACTTCTAAAGCGATTCAAGCACCAGAAGGGTTCAAATGAAAATGAGACCAAAGGAAGTAAATAAAAAAGAGGAGGGAATTTGTGAGAACACATTTTAAAGGGTCCATTTTCAAGTCATGATATCCAAGTATTGGCAGCCAGTCTGCGGATGTAACAAACCGCACGGCTCATGCTCCTAGCAAATCACAATAAGTGAACAGAATGGCGGGGGGTTGTGGGGGAGGAGGCGGTCAGCCCATAAAAGGGAAAAAAATTTTGTTATTGGGAAATCGCAACTTAAGCGGGGAAGGGGACGGGGTACAACCTTATAAGGGGGATAATGAAACTCAGGCGAAGTCTGGGAAGATTGTAACCTCATAGTACTCGACCAGTGAGGAACTGGGGAAGGGATAGTTGAGTGCCAAGAGATAAATTACCTGCTGTGACTGCCCCGGCTATGCCTACCTAGCAGACATCCAATTTTGCAAGACCCTGTTAAAAGTCTCACTTTCAGGCGGGACATGGTGGCTCACGCCTGTAATCCCAGCACTTTGGGAGGCCGAGGCGGGCGGATCACGAGGTCAGGAGATCGAGACCATCCTGGCTAACACGGTGAAAACCGTCTCTACTAAAAATACAAAAAATTAGCCGGGCGTGGTGGCGGGCACCTGTAGTCCCAGCTGCTCGGGAGGCTGAGGCAGGAGAATGGCATGAACCCGGGAGGCGGAGCTTGCAGTGAGCCGAGATCGCGCCACTGCACTCCAGCCTGGGTGACAGAGCGAGACTCCATCTCAAAAAAAAAAAAAAAAAAAATTCGCAGCAGGGTCTGCTGGGGCAAAGCAAGGGGTTCGTCTCCTGGTAAGTTTCCCTGGGACCTCTCAGTACCACCTCCCCCTGTCCTGCTCCCAGTGGGACTGCTGAGATCTAGGGAGCGGGTGTGATGTCCCTGAGGTTCCACAGTATGAAGTGAACCATGTTCCCCTGAGCCCCAGACCCTTCCCAGCCCCTTCCTGTTACTAGTGAAACTGCAGGGTCCCCATCTGCACCCCAGGTGCACCCCCTCTTCCTCTTACTCACTGAGGTTTTCTTCTTGGATGTCAGCAGCTGGGCTGGACCTGGGGGAGGACACGAGAGTGTGGTGTGGTGGAGTGTGGGAGTCTGGGGTCTTTGGGCAGAATTACCTCCTCAGCAGACCCCTGTTCTTGGGCTCTGGTCCCACGGCCCCTGCAGGGTGTTGGAAATCAGCCTCTCTCTGGGCTAGGTGAAGAAGGACAAAGTCTCAGCCCTGGGAACCTTAGAACCACCCACCCAGTACATGCGACTTTAGGGGAAAAAATGAAACTTGAAAACACACCCATATATATATATATATATATATATATATATATATATATATATTTTTTTTTTTTGAGACAAGGTCTCGCTCTGTCGCCCAGGCTGGAGCACAGTGGTGCGATCCCAGCTCACTGCAGCCTTGACCTCATAGGGTCAAGTGATCCTCCTGCCTCAGCGTCTTGAGTAGCTGGGACCACGGGTGCACACCACCAAACCTGGCTTATTTGCATTTTTAATTTTTTTTGTAGAGATGGGGTCTCACCACATTGCCCAGAGTCCTCTGAAACTCCTGGGCTCAAGCCATCCACCTGCCTCAGCCTTCCAAAGTACTGCGATTACAGGCATAGTTGTTTTAAATACTGGATACACTTAAAAAGGCCCGAAGACGTTGGGCCGAATGGCTCATGCCTATAATCCCAGCACTTTGGGAGGCTGAGGCGGGTGGATTGCTTGAACTCAGGAGTTTGAGACCAGCCTCGGCAACATAGTGAGACCCCCCATCTCTCCCCCGCAAAAAAATAATTAGCCTGGCGTGGTGATAGGGGCCTGTAGTCCCAGCTACTCAGGAGGCTGAGGTAGGAGGATCATTGAGGATCTTGGGAGGTGGAGGTTGCAGCGAGCCGAGATCACACCACTGCACTCCAGCCTGGGTGACAGAGCCAGATCACGTCTCAAATAAAATAAAATAAAAAGCTCAAAGAATAAATTACTTGCACATACACTCATATTTATTCTCTTCTTTCTAGATTTTTCAGCTGGGACTTTCTGGAGCTGTTTTTCTAAGCTGACTTTCTTGTGTGTTTGGTTCCCCTTTGGTTGGTGCCCTGATCCCACCCTCGGTGGGCCCACAGGTTCCCCCAGTCCCTGCTCACCCAATGTCCTGTGTTTGCTCTGACGCCGACATTGGAGGAGGAGGACGAGCGGCAGGACAAAGGCCACTGAGACCCCGGTTACAACCCCCAGGTATCTTCCCAGACCTTGCGCGTGATGACGTCGGGAATGAGGATGACATCGCTGATGTGAGCACCTACTGTGTGCAGGCGCGTGCTGGGTCTTCATGAGCTCTAACCCTCACAGCAGTCGTGCAACGTGGGATTGCCAACCCCCCAACCCATTTCACAGATGCACAAACTGAGGCTCAGAGGGGGGAATCGCCTGCCCCAGGCCCCCCAGCCTGGAAGAAGCAGGTCTGGGAGGGGAACCTGGGACCTTGTGTTTTCCCCAGCTGTCCTCCTGCTGCCCCACCAGGTGGACACCTGCTTCCTGCTCTGGGTCTTCTCATCTGACAGCAGGGGCCTGTCTTAGTGTCTCCATCTGGGGCTGTGTCCTCCTTACAACCCTCCCTTCCCCAGCACAGCAGGGCCTGGGGGAGGGAGTGGGCTGTACAGGACGGACCCTGCATTGCTCTCACCCCCAGCCCAGCCAGGTCCATCTCCTACTCTGCCAATCCCTGACCTTCCCATGCAGAGCCTTTGACCACAGACTGAAGGGCTGCACTGTCGGCTTCTCGGCTTCTGAGGTTTTGGTACTCGGACTAGCTTCCTTGCTCCTCAGCTTACAGACAGTCTATTGTGGGACCTCACCTTGTGATCGTGTGGATCAATACTCCTTAATAAACTCCCCTTTATATATACATCTATCCTGTTAGTTCTGCCCCTCTAGAGAACCCTGACTAATACATGTTTCTGAAATACGCAGCCATAGAAGGAAATGAGAAATGAAACTTCCTGACACAGGCAGGAAACCTCAGGAAGCAGCGAGGTCAGAGCTGAGTTGGCTTCTGGTGACTTGCAATGTCAGGGAATCACTAAAAGGGAGGTTTCCGCCTCTATATGAGACAGAGGAGAACCCCAGGGCCCTCACAGTCAGGGAGGGGTTGGGGTTTTGGGTGAAAGTGGGAAGTTGTGGCTCCTCGTCCCCTGTGTTTGTGGATGGCACTGGGGTATCTCTGCTCATTGACTCAGGTTTATGGTCAGCCCTGAGCCTCCCCCTCTGTGTGTGTGAAATAGATTCATTGTAGAGTTGTCAGACATGAGGTTCACACTGGACCCTCCCCTGCTGGTTACAGGCCTGAGCAGACTCACAAGACCCGGGCAGGTGGTGCCGTCCTCCTCTTTTCAAGCCTAACGCCCAGTGCAGCCCTGGTAGAAACCCTCTCTGGCAGATGAGGCACTGGGAGATGAGTGTCCAAGAATGAGAAGAAAGAGGAATCATCCTAATGATAAAAAGTGCTATGACTGGCTGCCTGCGATGGCTCACGCCTATTTTCCCAGCGCTCTGGGAGGCCGAGGTGGGCAGATCGCTGGAGCCCAGGAGTTCGAGACCAGCCTGGGCAACATGGTGAAACCCCATCTCTACTAAAAAGACAAAAATGAACTGGGTGTGGTGGTGCACACCTGTAGTTCCAGCTACTTAGGAGCCTGAGGTCGAAGATCGCTTGAGTCTGGCAGGCGGAGGTTGCAGTGAACTGGGGTGGTGCGCCACTGCACTTTAGCCTGGGTGACAGAGCAAGAACCTGTCTCAAAAACAAACACAGGCTGGGCGTGGTGGCTCACGCCTGTAATCCCAGCACTTTGGGAGGCCGAGGCAGGCAGATCATGAGGTCAAGAGATCGAGACCATCCTGGCCACACGGTGAAACCCCATCTCTACTAAAAATACAAAAAAAAAAAAAAAAAAAGATTAGCTGGTTGTGGTGGCGGGCACCTGTAGTCCCAGCTACTCGGGAGGCTAAGGTAGGAGAGTTGCTTGAACTCAGGAGACAGAGGTTGCAGTGAGCTGAGATCACGCCACTGCACTCTAGCCTGGGTGACAGAGTGAGACTCCGTCTCAAAAAATAAATAAATAAATAAATAAAAACAAAAAACAAACCAAAAAATCAAACACAAAGTGCTATGGTTGACAATCCACACTCACTAATGAGGATTATCATGGTCAAAAGGAGTACTAGGAATGTGTGAGACCCATCTTAGGTTAAACATGTTTAAATATTTGAGAAATACAGAGGACATTGAATTTCTGAGGCAGGATTATATGATTTTTTTTTCTACAGCAGAATGAATATTATATAAAATAATTAGAAGACATAGAAAAATCAGATTTAATGAACACAATCAAAATACTCATTCCTTCGAGGACAAGACACAGTGAAGCACCAATTATGAAATTAGAAAACAAAACAGAATTTTTTTTAGAGTGTAGCATAGAAACTTTATAAATTGCAATTTAAAGTACTTGGGAGAATAGAATGAGGAGGGGGAATGTCCTATCTATTGTAGGCGTCAGAAAGAAGGAAGAGAAAACGATGTCTAGCAATAGCCCAAGAGGTGAGTAGCTGAACATTTTATAGAGATGAGGAGAGACTAACTAAGGACTAGGGCGCATCCCTTTAAAATTGAAATGTATGGGCTGGACGTGGTGGCTCACGCCTGTAAGCCCAGCACTTTGGGAGGCTGAGGCGGGCGGATCACCTGAGGTCGGGAGTTTGAGACCAGCCTGACCAACATGGAGAAACCCTGTCTCTACTAAAAATACAAAAATTAGCCGGGCGTGGTGGCAGGTGCCTGTAGTCCCAGTTACTCGGGAGACTGAGGCAGGAGAATCGCTTGAACCCGGGAGGCAGAGGTTGCAGTGAGCCGAGATCACTCCACTGTACTCCAGCCTGGTGATAGAGCGAGACTCCGTCTCAAAAAACAAAACAAAACAAAACAAAAACCCTCACACAAAAACCAAGACAAATCCCCTTGACACAAGTTTATCTGTCTAACAAACCTGCACATGTATCCCTGAACTTAAAAGTGAAAAAAATAAAGGCAATATGTGTCAGATTTGTGGTGGTGTCTGCTGTTTCACCCCCATATGGAAATGTGTGCCTGAACCCCGCTTTTTTCCTTGCTTATTGTGGCTAGGATTTGTGAATGTAATTCACATTCTCAAGAATGAGCTTTTTTGGCTTCATCGAGTTTTCACGTAGCCCTCATTAGTAACTCCTCTTGTTATTTTTGTCCCCTTCCTCACACCTTCATTTGGAATAATTTGTTGTTCTTTTTCTAAATTCTTTCTGTCATTGCCAAGGTCATTAATTACGTAGGTTTTATTCTTTTCTAATTCATTCGCTCATTTGTAGTTTTCCGATTTCATCATTTAATGTGTAATATTTACATTATCATTCCAAATTTATACCATGCTCTAATTTCTGTTTCAGTTTTCTCAGCTCATTGATTTATTGAGAAGTCTGTGGCTTCATTTCAAAAATGCAAGGATATTAGTCATCTTTGACTGCAGAATCTAGTGAGTCCCAGAGTTCCCAGGATGTCCTGGTGGTCTTTGTTAGGGGTCCAGGCTGGCTGGGGTTCATTGGTGTCCACTGGGGGCAGCTCCTGTGCCTTCTGGAGTCTCTGAGTCTCCTTCTGTTGAGTATGAGATCTGGGTCCCCCGTGGGCTAGTGGATGGCCAGGGGGGCGTAGATGCTGGGTTCAGCTGGAGGTTCCCTTTCCTGGGATGGAGGAGGCTCAGTTGCCTCCCGTCTGAGGGTCAAGCTGTGTAGCTGGGCGTAGGTCACATCCTGGGGGGCTTCAGATGCAGCAGCCTGCAGCGGGGGAGAGTGAGAGGTAAGGAACGTGGTGGGGGTGGGGAGGCCTGGGGGCCTGGAGAGGAAAGGACTCTCTCAGTGTCCATCTGTCTGTCCTCTTCTGCCTGTCTGTCCTTTGTGTCCAGGAATTCCCCAGACAGTGGGGAGGGAGGAGAGGCCATTTCTCTCCTAGGTCTGGAGTGTTTCACCTCGGCATACGTCACTGCCTGGGGGTCTTCATCGTGTGGGCTCTGCTGGAGAGAGACAGTGGTGGGGGGTGTCCTTGAGTCCCCCTGACCTCCTGGAGTCAATTTTCCTCACTGTTCCCGGGGTGATCCGATTACATCCCTTTCCTGATGGAATCTCAGGGACGCCCTAAGGCCGTGGAGGGTCTGGCCGCTCCCTCCCTGTGGTTCTGGCCTCTGCTCCTCACTCTGACCTTGCCCATTTGGCTGCAGCCTCACAGGCCTTCCTGCAAGAGCTCGCTGCTGCCTGGGGGCCTTTGCACGGCTGTTTCCTCTGCCTGCAGGGGCTCGTCCATCAGAGGATCGTGTGCCCCACTCTGTCCAGGCTTCTCAGATGACAGCTGAGCAGACAGCCCTCCCCTTCCATTCAGACTGGCCCCACTGCCCCACACTCTCTGCCCTTTCCCTGGTTTATGTTCCTTACAGCACGTTGCACTCCTGGACACGATGCATTTATTTGCATTTTGTCTCCCACCATGAGGTGAGCTCAGGAGGCGGGGGCGGCTTTGCTCCCTGCTGTGTCTGCAGCTCCCATGGGGAGCCCCATCCACAGTGAGCTCCCTGGGAACACTCGCTGGTTGAATGAATGAAGGGGAGCCTGGGGGACCGGGGTGGTTCATTTATTCCTCATCCTCCTGAGGCCTGGGGAGCGCTCTAACAACCAGACGGCCAAACAGAGGATGAGGAGCAGGAAGGGGACCCGGGAGGAGGCCCACGAGGTCCCAGGACAGCAGAAGAGAGTGAGGTCGCAGCAGGCGGGAGGCAGCGTGCTGGACAAGGAGGGGTCCACCGTGACGATGCTGAGAGCCGGGGGAAGGAGGACAGAGAAGTCCTGCAGGATTAGATCTGGCACCAGGAGGCCTTTGGTGCCCGGGACAGGGGCGGGGCCTCACCCGAGCATCCATCTCCACCCCGTCCTTGGGCTGTGTGTCCTTCACGGCAGCATCTGCTGGGCCAGAGCAAGGGGTTCGTCTCCTGGGAAGGTTCTCTGAGACTTCTCAGTCCTGCCAGCCCTTGCCCTGTTCCCACTAGGGTGGCTGAGATCCAGGGAGGGACTGTGATGTCCCTGAGGTCCCACAGTGTGGGTTCAGACCACCTCCCCCTTGGCCCCAGACCCCTCCCAGCCTGTGCTCCTGCCCCCATTGCTACAGAAACTTTGGTGCTCCCTTGCCCACCCCAGGTGCCCTCCGCTTCTAGTCACTCACTGAGAATTTCCTCCTGGATGTCAGCAACTGGGCTGGCCCTGGGGGAGGACACGGGAGTGTGAGGGGCAGTGAGGGGGCTGTGCGGGTGGATGGGAGTCTTGGGTCTTCATGCAGAATTACCTCTTCTGCAGGCCCTGGTCCTTGGGCTCTGGCCCCGCAGCCCCTGCAGGACGGTAGAAATGGGCTGGACAGAGATGGACAGAGGGTCAGGCCTGGGAGAATTCGAACCAGCTGCCCTGCACACACAACTCGAGCGGAAAGAAGGAAACCTGGAGGCCCACTGGCACTGAGGCTTTAAATACGTCGTAAGTTTAAAGTAAAATCAGAAGAATCAAGCACTTCCACACATGCTCACATTTATTCTCTTCTTTCTCGATCGATTTTTCACCTGGGAATTTCTGGAGCAGTTTTTCTAAGCTGACTTTCCTCTGTGTTTGGTTTCCCTCTGGCTGGTGCCCCGAGCCCACCCTCGGTCGGCCCACGGGTTCCCCCATTCCCTACTCACCCGATGTCCTGTGTTTGCTCTGATGCCGATGTCGGAGGAGGAGGAAGAGGAGGAGGAACAGCAGCAGGACGAAGGCCACTGAGACCCCAGTCACAACCCCCAGGTGCCTTCCCAGACCTTGAGCGTGATGACGTTGGGAATGGGGATGACGTCATTGATGTGAGCACCTTCTGTGTGCAGGCGCGAGCTAGGTCTTTCCTTCATGAGCTCCAACCCTCACAGCAGTTGTGCAACATGGGATTGCCAACCCCCCAATTCACAGAGGAGCAAACTGAGGCTCAGAGAGGGGAATCGCCTGCCCCAGGCTCCTCAGCCTGGAAGAAGCAGGTCTGGGAAGGGAACCAGGGACTTTGTGTTTTCCCCAGCTGTCCTCCTGCTGCCCCACCAGGTGCACACCTGTTTCCTATTTGACAGGAGGGGCCTGTCCTAGTGTCTCCATCTGGGGCTGGTGTCCTTCTTAGGATCCTCCCTTCCCCAGCACAGCAGGGCCTGGGAGAGGGAGTGGGTTGTGCAGGACGGACCCTGCATTGCTCTCACTCCCAGCTCAGCCAGGTCCGTTTCCCACTCTGCCAAGTTCCCATACTCCCATGCAGAACCTGTCTGGATAGGGGCTCTGTGTGTATCTGGGAAGGGCTGAGGGTAGCAGGAGGACGGTGCCCCTGCCGAGCTGTGTACAGGGCCAGGTCCCATGATTTTGCTTACGCCTCGCAGCAGTTCTGTGAGCTGGATGGGACTGAGCCAGTTTACAGCTGCTGAAACTGAGTCAGAGTAGAAAGTTGACCTGCCTGGGCCCACGGTGGGATGCGGCAGAGCTGGGAAGTGAACCCAGGAGTCTGACCCGCAGCCCTTGTTCTCTGCACCTGAGCGGAGCCCCGGAGCTGCAGGGAAAGAGCCTGAATGCCCCAAACCACGGCCCTGCTCCCCTCCCCTGCCCCAGGTCACTGTCACTGCTGCCGGTGGGACAGGACAGTCCCCTGAAGAATCCCATCAATGCAGGCCTCTCTCCTTTACACTTGGAGAAACTGAGGCCCAGGCAGGGGAAGGGCTTGTGCACTTCACCATCTCCAGAGGAGCCTGAACCTACGACAGAACCCACCCCTGCCTCCCCTGGTCTCCGCCCACCTCCCACTCAGAGCCCCTCACTCACCACTCTGGGGATCCAACCCCGTGGGGGTGAGGGGCTGGTCCTCAGGGCCTGCTGGGTCAGGACGGGGAGGTGAGGGCTGGGGCTGCCCTGCTCCCCACATCAGCCCGGCTGCTCCTCCCCCAGGCTGGGCCCCAACACCCAACATCTCTCTCTGCCTCGACGCCCGCCCCCTCACCGGCCCAGCCTCAGAGCCCCGGGGAGCCTGTGGCCCCTCCTCTGGCTCTGCCCAGCTCCCTGGAGGGAAGCTCCCGCTTGAGTCTTTGAGGGGAATAGGATCCTCGGGGAGACTCAGGGCTGCCTGGGGGGAGACCACGCTCCCTCCGAGCCCAGAGGCCTCAGTGACTCACCAGGTGTGGGGGTGGAGCCTGTAGGTGAGAGGCTGGGATCCCCAGAGGGTCCTGGGAATAAGCACAGAAAGGGAGCGAGGCGCTTTGGTGCTGAGTGAGGAAACCCGTCCCTCCACCTGCCCGTGGCTTCTCTGGAAACTTTCTTCTGCTCACCTTTCACCATTTGCATCCCAGGAGATGGGGCCAAGTGTGGGCATGCCTGGGGAGCCCCCGTTGTCCTCCTCCCCTCTGAGGGGTGAGTCTCCCTCTGGCTGAGCCCCCCTCAAACCCTCCCCCCCGCACCGCGACTCCATCCCAGCCCAGAGCTCTCCTGGGGGCAGGGCCTGAGCTGAGCCTTTGAGCTTGGACAGGACAGGGTCAGGGCCCTCACCTGAGACCACGAGCTCCTGGGGGTAACTAGGGCTGGACAGCAGGTAGGGGTAGGACCTGATTGCGCTGTAGCATCGGTAGGTTCCACCCTGGGCTGAGGTCACAGGACTCATGGAGAATTCAGCCTGGTGTCTATAAGACTGGTACTTTGACTTTAGACACAGCGGGGGATGGGCTGCCCCCTCCTTGGTCAAAAAGAAAGTGTCTATCTGATGCCATGACTGACACAGCAGGGTCACGTTCTCTCCTGAGGCCACCTTGGGGCCCGGCTGCACCGAGAGGGCGGGTATGTCAGGGATCAGTCCTGGAGAGAAGAAGGATGGGTGAGGGGCTGCCCCACCTTGCTCTGAGCTGAGACCTCCCCAGGCCTCTCTAGGAGCCTCTGTCTCTGTTTTCTCTGAGTCTTCCCCTCCCCACCCATCCCCTGTCTCTGTCTGTCTCTCCCTCCCTTGGGACCACCCCCCCGCCTCATCCCGGCCATCACTAATTGGATTCCCCCGGCAGGGCCTGTGCGGAGCCTGGGTCCCTGACTGAACCCGCTGGGCTCCTCACCTGCGATCAGGATGTCCAGGGGGTCGCTGGGGGCCGACCACCTAGGGGAGAGGTTGTGTGCACCGTAGCATCTGTACTGGCCCCCGTGGGAGCGGCTCACAGGGCCCAGGGTGAAGTTGGCCTGGGAGAGCCCAGCCTGGGGCTGCTGGCCAGAGCCCTGGACGAGGTCATGTTCCCCCTCCTTGTACAGAACGAATATGTCATAGCCGACATCAGAGCGACACTGCAGGGTCAGGCTGCCTCCGCGGGCCACGACAGAGCCCTGCGGGATCAGGAGGGAGGGCTTCCTAGACACGCCTGGAGGGAAAGAGGAATTGGGACTTGGAAGGCTGGTTCCTCCCCCGCCCCTTCCTTCTCCCGTCCTGGCGTCCTGGCCCTGCAGGTCTCACTGTCTCTCACGCTCTGTGTCTCGGATCCCGGGGTCTCCTTCTCACCTGGGTCTGTCTTGGAGTAGTTCCAGACCGATAGTGTCTCTCTGACTCCTGGCCACTGTCTGTCTGGTCTGTCCTCTCCTCATTGAGGGACAGGAAATTGCAGCAAATACACCCATTGCCTTCCTGAGTCGACCCCTTCCAGGTGAGGGTGACTCAGGCTCCTGTTTCCCCATCTGAGCCTCCCCGTGGGGTCTTCCTCACGCCTTCAGCCCATCCATCAACACATCCTTCTGGGGTCCTTGCCATGATCAGTCATCAACCAAACTCCCAACAACCTATCTGGTTCCCCAAAATTATATAAAGAAGTGTGGTGGCTTTTTCACCTGGGACCAGAATCTCCAGGAGGTCACTGGGGTTCGACCACACCTGAGGGTTTTTCCTGTAATAGTAATAGCATCTGAACCTCCACCTGCAGCTGGGGGTCACGGGACCCACAGGGAACAGGGCCTGGGATGGCCCTTTGGGGAGCTTCTGTGAGTACAGGGTCCTGGGGAGCTTCTGTTCTTCCTCAACAAGAACAAACGTGAGAAGTCCGTCCAGTGTATCACACTGGAGGGTCACATTTCCTCCTGAGGCCACCACAGGACTCGGCAGGGCTAAAAGAGTGGGTTCTGCATAGAATCCTAGCAGAGAAGGAGGCACGTCTTAAGTGGGGCTCCGACCTCCCACATCATCCCCAGGGCTGGGCTGTGAGAGGTAGACGTCCCTAAGAGCCGACCCTCTTCCTGAGGGCAGAGCCTGGGGCTGGGACCCCTGAGTGTCCTCTCACCTGTCGCCACCAGCTCCAGGGGGTCACTGGGCTCTGACCAGCCTGCAGGGGTCTCATAGTAGCAGCGGTATCGCCCTGCACTGTCATACACCGTGGATGGAATGTGGAACTTGGCCTTGGCTCCAGGCTCCAGTGGGTTCTGTCTCTTCCGGGCCCATGGGAGTCCCTCCTTATCCAGACGGTACTCCTCAGTCTCCAGGGGCCCCTGACACCAGAGGGTCACGGGCTTCCCCCGAGCTATCACAGAGGCTGGCTCAGCCCAGAGGGTGGGTTTGGGGAGGGTGCCTAGAATGGAATCAGAGGCTGGATCCCAAGACATCCCCATCCCTCAGATTCCAGCTCTCAGCCCCAGGACCCTCCAGACGTCCCCATCAGTCAGCCCAGAACAGCTATCTCCACCCCCAGCTGCCCGGGGTTGGGCCCTTGTCCCCAGTGAGAAGAAGGGACCTGGGACAGCTGGGGACAGACTCACCTGCCTGCACGCAGGTCCTGGGGCCCACACTCAGCCCTGGAAGAGAGTTCCCTGTGAGGGATTTGCCCCTGGAAGCCCCAGCAGTTCCTCTCCTCCCTCGGAGCCTCTGATAGACCAGATTCTCTGATAGACCAGAGCCTCGCTTTAGAGTGAGCTCCCTCCAAGACGGGGACCTTCCTTCCCCCTCTTCAAACCTCACCGAGGCAAATCAGGACTGAGAGGGTGAGGGTCATGGCGTCAGCTCCCACTGGACTCAGCTGTGCAGGCGGATGAGACCACGGTGCCTGGCAGGACACAAAAACACGCAGAGTGTGGACTGGAGGCTGGGTTCTCCCTGTCACAAGACTGTCCCATCGGAAGCCCCACAGGAAGGGGAACTGCCCTCCCCAAGAGCCTGGCTCTCATTTCCCCAGGGATGGGGCTGGGGTGAGCTCCAGGCTCTCTGCAGACATTTCAGACAGAAATGGGGTCTCCCTGAGCCCTAGCCGCTGTCGGCCTGACCTATACTCAGCTCACCAAGGGCTAGGGCAGAGCAACAAAACCCCTCCGCTGGGAATGAACCTCTAAGTCGTTCCTGCCTCCTCAGTGCCCCTTTGTCCTTGGCCGTCCCTCTGTGCCTCCAACCATGTTCAAGGTTTTCAGAACAATTACTCAGGTTTGTCATCTGATTCATGGGGTGGAGTGGGGAGCTGAATTTTCTTCCTAATTCCACCGATTATGTGACCTTGGACAGCAAAGTGGCTTGCTTGAGCCTTTCTCTTTTGGAACTTGTGGTCATGACCTCAGCTTCTCAGAGTGGATGTGGGGCTCAGTGGTGCCTGGGACATGGGAGGGGGCTTGGCCATGGTGAATTTCCAGACCAGATTAAGACAGGAGTGGTTGGGGTGTGAGAGGATCCTGGCATTGAGCTCCGTAGTAGAGGAGGATGATTGATGCCCCAACTCAAGAGCCCACATCTGCTCCAAATACCAAGAAATGCTCCTTATGTTTGAAGTTCCCGGCACGGTGGCCCACCCCTGTAATCTGAGCACCTAGGGAGGCTGAGGATGGAGGATCCCTTGAGCTCAGAAGTTCAAGACCAGCTTGGGGAACATAGTGAGACCCCGTCTCTGCATATAACAAAGAAGAAATAATCAGGTATGTTTGTGCACGACTGCAGTCCCAACTATTTGGGACACTGAGGTGGGAAGATTGCTTGAGCCTGGGTGGTCCAGGCTGTAGTGAGGTATGATCATAGCACTGCACTCCAGCCTGGGTGAGAGAGCACGACCCTGTCTCAAAACATACATATATATATATATATATACACACACACACATACACACATCTGAAATATGTAGATTATACATCCGAAATATGTAGATTATGAAAGTTTTGTGCAGAAAAAGAAATGAAAAGTTCTTTAATTTGAGAAGGTTGCACATCAAAGAACAAACTTGAAAGCTGACAGCCTGCTTGTGTCTAAGACTGTCCCAGGGTCATTAGGGAGGAAATTTCCACTTCTGTGTGGGACAGAAGAGGAACCCCAGGTCCTCATGGAAAGGGAGGGGGTAGGGGCTCCAGATGAAGATGAAAAGCTGTGGCCCGGCCCGGCGCGGTGGCTCACGCCTATAATCCCAGCACTTTGGGAGGCTGAGATGGGCAGATCACGAGGTCAGGAGATCGAGACCATCCTGGCTAACACGGTGAAAACCCGTCTCTACTTAAAAAAAAAAAAATAGAAAAAATTAAGCGGGCGTGGTGGCGGGCGCCTGTAGTCCCGGCTACTTGGGAGGCTGAGGCAGGAAAATGGTGTGAACCTGGGAGGCAGAGCTTGCAGTGAGCTGAGATCGCGCCACTGCACTCTAGCCTGGGGGACAGAGTGAGACTCCGTCTCAAAAAAAGAAAAAAAAAAAAGGAAAAGAAAAGCTGTGGTTCACCCTTGCTCGTGCTTGTGGACAGGAGCTGGGATATCTCTGCCCACTGACTGAAGTCCATGATCAGCATGGGGCCACCTCTCCCGTTTTTGTGTTTAACAGATTCCGCCGCCGTGCGTGGTGCCTCACGCCTGTAATCCCAGCACTTTGGGAGGCTGAGGCGGGCGGATCACCTGAGGTCGGGAGTTTGAGACCAGCCTGACCAACATGGAGAAACCCCGTTTCTACTAAAAATACAAAAAAATTAGCTGGGCGTGGTGGTGCATGCCTGTAATCCCAGCTACTTAGGAGGCTGAGGCAGGAGAATTGCTTGAACCCGGGAGGCGGAGGTTGCGGTGAGGCGAGATCAAGCCATTGCACTCCAGCCTGGGTGACAAGAGTGAAACTCCATCTCAAAATAATAATAATAATAATAATAATAAATAAATAAATAAAATCCTTGAAGTCCACCCGGCGTTCTATTGCACTGCAGCTGACCTGGCACTCAAGCCACAAGATACTGTCCTTCCTACTCATCCCTCCCCTTTCTTAAGGCAAAGGAGCCTCATGCCATGACCACTGCCACAACAGGCTTACAGGGAGAACTGCCAGTGTTCTCTTAAGCCCTAAGGGATCTTCAGTCAGCTTGTGGTGAAGGCTTCCTGGCCTGCTATTCATCCGTCATGACACTGGGCTCTGCCCAGGCCCAGGGCAGGTCCAGAAATGATCTCTAAGAGCAAAGTCCTTGAATTGAGGACCTGAGAGCCTACTTGGCACTCTATCCCCTGTTGTTGAGCTGGTACCTAAGGTGCAATACAAAGTCCCTTTTACTTTTTCTTCCACTTTTCTCACCCCACAGTCAACATGGCTGGGAAGGTGCTGAGTCTCACTTGAAGCCAGCAAGTCTCAGAGTCTCACCTAAGGCCCACGACATAGTACCTGTATATTGCTGCTGGTTATTCAGGGCCTGAGAGCTCTTCAGTTAGCAAGTGATGAATTCTGCCAGGACTAAATCCTTCCCCACAAGGCAGCAATTTCCCTTCTGGCCTAGGGTATGTGGAAAAATGTTGTCCAGGAGCTAGCATCTGGGATGGGGACCTCAGGACTCTGCCTGTTGCCCTATCTTACTGTGGCTGAGTGGGTATCCAAGATAAAAGACAAAGTCCTCTTTATTCTTCCCTCTCCTCTCTTCAATCAGAAGGAAGGAATCACTTTTGTTGCTACAAGTTGTGCTGCCTTGGGTAGTGGGAGGGATGAAACAAGTACACCCTTAGCTACGTTTGCTGATTTCTCTAAATTCACTGGCTCCAAACTCAGCACAGCACTAGGATTTTCCCAGGAATCACAGTACTTGTGGCCTAGACTCTTTCAAGCTTGTTTAAGACCCCAGACCAGGCGCAGTCACTCACACCTGTAATCTCAGCACTTTGGGAGGCTGAGGCGGGCAGATCATGAGGTCAGGAGTTTGAGACCAGCCTGGCCAATATGGCCAAATCCCATCTCTACTAAAAATACAAAAATTAACTGGGCATGGTGGCACGTGCCTGTAGTCCCAGCTACTTGGGAGGCTGAGGCAGTAGAATCGCTTGAATCTGGGAGGCAGAGGTTGCAGTGAGCCGAGATTGCACCACTGCACTCCAGCCTGGGATGACAGAGCGAGACTCCATCTAAAACCAAAACAAAACAAAAAAACAAACCCAGAGCACTTTAGCCTGAGGTCTCAGGTGGGA
This sequence comes from Homo sapiens, assembly GCF_000001405.40. Lineage (NCBI taxonomy): Eukaryota > Metazoa > Chordata > Mammalia > Primates > Hominidae > Homo > Homo sapiens. Next base: position 235,589 of record NW_003571061.2, read on the forward strand.
CTTGCTGAATCTCAAGTTCCAACTGATTTTCTGGGCAGTTCCCCTTTGGGTAGAGCTCATCAAATGCTTTCTCCATGAACGGGCATCAGTTGCAATCAGCCCAGTGTGGCTTTCCAGTGTGACAGGGCAGCATTGAGTTCAGTCCTGCCTTCTCCCTTCCCCAAGCACACAGTCGCTGCTTGGGTGACTCCAGCCTGGGTGACAGAGCGAGACTCTGTCTCAAAAAAAAAAAAAAAAGAATGCTGAAAATATACCCTAATATCTTTAATATCTTCTGACTTTTAGGGTTATGCTGAAAGGTTCACTGTTAGCCTGATGAGGTACGTCTTTTGGATGACTGGCCTATTCTCTCTAGCTGCCATGAATAATTTTCTTTCACGTTGATCTTGGAGAAGTTGATGAGTATGTTGTTTGTGGATGGTTTTGTTGTATAGTATCTCACTGGGGTGTTCTGAGTTTCCTAAATGTGAATGTTGGCTCTCTAGTGCGGTTGGGGAAATTTTTATTGATAATATTCTCAAATATGTTTCTCAAGTTGCTTGCTTCCTTTCTTACTCAGGGATGCCAATGGGTCATAGGTTTTGTCTCTTTCCATAATCCCATAATTCTCAGAGGTTTTGTTCATTCTTTTAAATTCTATTTTTTTTATTTTTGTCTGACTGCGTTGATTCACAGAAGCAGTCTTTTTTAATTTTGTTTTTATTTTTGTTTTCTGAGATGGAGTTTCGCTCTTGTTGCCCAGGCTGGAGTGCAATGGCACAATCTTGACTCACTGCAACCTCCACCTCATGGGTTCAAGCAATTCTCCTGCCTCAGCCTCCCTAGTAACTGGGATTACAGGCATGCACCACCACGTCCGGCAAATTTTGTATTTTTAGTAGAGATGGGGTTTCACCATGTTGGTCAGGTTGGTCTCGAACTCCTGACCTCAGTTGATCCGCCCGCCTCAGCTTCCCGAAGTGCTGGGATTACAGGCGTGAGTCACCACGCCTGGCCATAGAAGCAGTCTTTGAGCTCTGAGATTTTCTTCTCACCTTGGTCTATTTTGCCGTTACTACTTTTTATTATATTATGCAATTTTTGTAATGAGTTTTTCAGCTCTATAAAATCAGTTTCTTTCTTTCTTAAAATGTCTATTTCATCTTCCACCTCTGGTGTCATTTTACTGGGTTCCTTATATCCCTTGGATTGGGTTTCAACTTTCTTCTGAACCTCAGTGATCTTAGTTTGGCATCCAGATTCTGAATTCTATGTCTGCCATTTTAGCCATTTCATTAAAAATCACAGGATGGCCACGTAATAAATGAAAGTAGCACTGCACCTCTATCACCCCATCCTTCAGTCAGGATCAGCTTGGAATAAAGAGGGACTTCTCCTTGCTGGAAAAAGCTGAGAAAAAGACCTAGCAGCTTCCATCAACACTTTGGACACCTGTAGATCTCACCATTGGAGATTCCCTTTCACAGACACTAAGCACAGCTGACGGAGCTACCCAGATTCCACACAGCTGCACTCACCCAGGAGAAAAGACTGACACTGTGCCCCACTGTCCACGGCCATCACGGCTCTGGCACTATGCCATTGTGGAATGGGATCTACTTCTGGATCTCTGGGGGACACGTAGCCGCAGCATCCTTTCACTGCTGAGGGATTGTCACTGCTGAGCCAGCCTTGCCTGGTGGCCTGCCATCCCCAGGCTGAGCTGTTGCTCTATACTACCCTGTCGTGCCAAGCTGCCTAGAGCCACTCGATCCACCTTTCCCAGTGGCAGATGCATCCTGACCCTCAGGGACCGAGCTGAAGTGGAAACGGTGCCTTGGGTGTTCACAAGAGTGATGGCCTGTGCCTGCGCTAGTGTGACACGCTGTGTATTAGGGTTCTCTAGAGGGACACAACTAATGGCGTATATATGTGTGTGTGTGTGTGTGTGTAAAATCGTATCTGGTGTATATATATGTGTGTATATATACACATATCAAAAATATATATGTATATGTGTGTGTATATATGTGTGTGTATATATGTGTGTGTATATATGTGTGTGTATATGTGTGTGTATATGTGTGTGTATATATGTGTGTGCATATATGTTTGTGTGTATATATATGTGTGTGTATATGTGTGTGTATATATGTGTGTGTATATATGTTTGTGTGTATATATATGTGTGTGTATATATATGTTTGTTTATATATATGTGTGTATATATATGTGTGTATATATATAAAATCATATCTGGGGTATATATATGTGTGTATATATACACATATCAAAAAATATATGTATATATGTGTGTATATATATGTGTATGTATATATGTGTGTGTATATATGTGTGTATATATATGTGTGTGTATATATGTTTGTGTGTATATATATGTGTATGTATATATGTGTGTGTATATATGTGTGTGTATATATATGTGTGTGTATATATATGTTTGTGTGTATATATGTGTGTATATATATGTTTCTGTGTATATATATGTGTGTATATATATGTTTGTGTGTATATATATATAATCGTATCTGGTGTATATATATGTACACATATCAAAAAATATATGTGTGTGTACATATATGTGTGTATATATATGTGTGTGTATATATATGTGTGTACATATATGTTTGTGTGTATATATGTGTGTGTATATATGTGTGTATATATATACCCTACATATATATACCATACATATATATGTATATACACCATATCTATATGGGTGTTTATTAAGTATTAACACACTATTATACAAAAATTAGCCTGGTGTGTGTGTGTGTATACATATATATATATAAAATCATATATGTGTGTATATATATGCATGTGTGTATATATATGTGTGTGTATATATATGTGTGTATATATACACATACATATATATGTATATACACCATATATATATGTGTGTGTGTATATATATATATATATATACGAGTGTTTATTAAGTATTAACTCACACTATTATACAAAAATTAGCCCAGTGTGGTGGTGCACGCCTGTAGTCCCAGCTACTCAGGAGGCTGAGGCAGGAGAATCAGTTGAACCCGGCAGACGGAGGTTGCAGTGAGCCGAGATTGCGCCACTGCACTCCAGCCTGGTGACGGAGTGAGACTCCATCTCAAAAATTGGACTCTAGCCTGGGCAACAAGAGCAAAACTCTGCCTGTCTCAAAAAAAAAAAAAAAAAAAAAAAAAAGACATGATCCAGGCAACATCGATGGGGCATCACCAGGGTCTGTCCTGTCTGTTGCAGTCCACACTTTGCCCTGCTCATAGCCCCATGAACTTCATGTTCATGTCTTTTCACACTATAACTTCTTCCAGGTCTTTGCTGGACACATTAAAAAAAAATATATATATATAAAATGCTTCATGAAATTTGTTAATATCCTTGTGCAGCTGCCATGCTGATCTTCTCTGTATCATTCTGATTTTGGTATATGTGCTGCCAAAGCAACAACACACTGGACACATTTATCTACAAATGAGGCAAACAAAGCATATGGGTGTGAATGGGGAGAAGTACAGTGTTCTCTGTTGTAATTGACCCCGAGGTCATCCTTTATATTTACCAGCTTTGCTGTCTATCACCCTCTCTAGGTTCTGCTTACCTTCTGCCAGAGTTCGCATGAGAAACTCTACTTGTCTCAACTATCGGCCCAATGAAATAAACATAAATTTCAACCTTGAGGCATCTGAGCACCTGATTATTGTGCCTGTTTCAGGCTTTCTTGTGGGAGTTGCCCATTGTGTTAGTTTCTTGGAGGCTGATATAACAAATTATCACAAAGTATTGAATAAAAAGAAGATAAACTTATTCTCTCAGAGTTCTGCAGGCCAGAAATAAAAAATCAAAATGTTCATATAATTTCTTCTTTCTAGAGGCTCTGAAGAAGAAACTTCTGTGCTTTTTCCTTCTTTCTTTCTTTCTTTTTTTTTTTTTTAGATGGAATCTCGCTCTGTCTCCCAGGCTGGACTGCAGTAGCGCGATCTCGGCTCACTGCAAGCTCCGCCTCCCGGGTTCATGCCATTCTCCTGCCTCAGCCTCCCCAGTAGCTGGGACTACAGGTGCCCGCCCCCACACCCGGATAATTTTTTTGTATTTTTAGTAGAGACGGGGTTTCACCATGTTAGCCAGGATGGTCTCGATCTCCTGACCTCATGATCTGCCCGCCTCGGCCTCCCAAAGTGCTGGGATTACAGGCATGAGCCACCACGCCCGGCCACTTTTGTGCCTTTTTCTTAGACTTTGGTCCTTGCTGGCATTTCTTGGCATTCCTTGGTTTACAGACTTCTCATTCTAATCTCTGCCTCCATCTTCACATGGCATCCTATTCTTCTCTGTGTGTCTTCTTCATGTCTTATAAAGATGTGAGCAATATTGGATTTAGATCCTGCCCGAAGCCAGCATGACCACATCTTAACTAATTATACCTGCAAAGATCCTATTTCCAAATAAGTTCATATTCACAGCTACGGGAGGTTAGGATGTCAACATACCTTTTTGGAGACACAGTGCAAACCCCAACCCCAGTCATGGTTACCTCCAGCTATGGAGAATTCATCACTGCCACAGTGAATTATCTAAGCTGCCCAACCACCCTCTCTTCACCAAATCCTCCTCCTCATCGTTAAAGAAAATTACCCAGGCCAGTATGATATCTTTCTCCTTACCTGCTGATGTACTGTAATGAGGAAACCCAAGGAAAACCAGCTACATCATCATTTTAGGTACAGAGTAATTTTTGTGTTGTTCCCTGGTAGTGGTTTCTTACCAGGCAGATCTTCTAACCCAGGGTCACCTAAAAGTGCAGTCACAGGATGTGCACATCTCCCAAGTGTGTCATCTGTAAAGTTAGTGATAGATGCTGTTCATTAAACTCTCACTTTACTCCCAAGCCCATGCATTCTACCTGTCAAAAGACATACCATGATTTATTGTTTTATTTATTTTTTATTATTTTTTATTTTTTTGACGGAGTTTTGCCCTTGTTGCCCAGGCTGGAGTGCAATGGTGCAATCTTGGCTCACTGCAACCTCCGCCTCCCGGGTTCAGGCGATTCTCCTGCCTCAGCCTCCCAAGTAGCTGGGATTACAGGCGAGCAGCACCACGCCTGGCTAATTTTTGTATTTTTAATAGAGATGGCGTTTCACCATGTTGATCGGGCTGGTCTCGAACTCCTGAACTCAGGTGATCCACCTGCCCTGGCCTCCCAAAATGCTGGGATTACAGGCGTGAGCCACCGCACCTGGTCCATTTATTGTCTTTATAGCTATATCTGTATGTATATCATCTACAGCTTTCTGTATGCTTATTTACAGCTACTGTAACAGAACCCCCAAACTGCAGAGTCTCATTCACAAACTGTTCAATACATCCAATTTCAAGAGGCCATTTCAATGTTCTTTCAGTCCCAGTAAAACCAAACCACTGCATAGTACATATCTCAGGTCATTCCCAGAATATCACGTGGCCATGTTCTCATTCCCTCCACGGATTTTGTGGGCATCTGGATTCCCATTCTGAGAATAAGTCATGGGTTATTTCGTTTAAACAAGTCAGACATTCTGAGTGCTCACAGACCCCTGCGAGGAGCTCCGTCAAACCCATTTTCAGCACAAGCATCCTTCAGACTAAGGAAGGTTTGCTGCCCCCTCGTGGGTGGAATGTGTTCCATGGCATCAAGTTACTACCAGGCATCACATCCAGACCTCTCTGCTGGTCACAGGTGAGACTTTCAGCTACAGTGGTGGCTACGTGGTCCTTGGTGAGAGGGAGTCACTGGTGTTGGGTTCATGCATGTCCTCCTTTCTTGCTCCATGGCTATCCCATTCACGGGCCCCTCCTGCTTGCATTGGGCCTGCTGACCCCACAGCTGGATGGATTCCACTGCATCAATTCTGTACTCCACCTGGTGCCTCCCCCAGCTGTGGACTGCTCTTGCTTGCTTCTCAGGGATAGGCTCATGGTAGGGAGTATAAATTTCTCCTGTCCTCACCCAGCCTCAGTCTTGGACAATTTCTATATGAGTGGGCCTTGAGGGTGGAGCTTGCTCAGTGTTTGTGTCCTTCTTCCCCTTGGCAGCTGGATTGTACTTGGTAGCTTTGGTTGACTTGGGCAGGAATTTCCTGTCCCTTCCCTGACATTTGTATATCTGGGATTATGGTTTCAGGAATTTTCTGCAGTACTCCTAGGGATAGAGGGACTTTTAAATCTACCTTCTTATATCCACAATGGGTTTTTACCTGGGGCCTGAGATTGGCTGGTTTTTCTGAACCTCTCTCAATGACTTCAGTCTTTTTCTACACATGGGAGAAGTATCTGGGCAGGGGGTGAGATTTCAGGCCACACACTGTGGAAGGTAATCATGTCTGATCACAAATTTTGGGTCTCCACCTTACTTCCAATCTATGTTGTGAATGCCCAGTTGAGACCCACGGAAAAGAGCTCATGGGTGAGTGTGAAGTGCTTCTCTGTCTTAAGTTCCCAGAGATCCTTGCCTCTTGGAGGCCAGCAAACACTGACTCTTGAGGAATTCATGACAATATCATCTGATTCCTCCTTCCCAGCTTGTATGGCAGTCTCCCACCCTCATGTGTTCTGCCTTTGTAGAGCCTGTCATGGCATCCTACTCCTCCTTGGAATTCAGGTTACTCAGTTGCTCCCAGAGCTCGGATTTCTGATGGTCTCAGGTGAAATCTACATTATGGAGTTGATCTGAGTTTTACTCATGGTTAGGATTGCAGAGAAGCTCTTTTTTTGGAGTGGGGGAGGGAGGGGGAGGGATGGAGTTTCGCTTTTGTTGCCCAGGCTGGAGTGCAATGGCGTGTTCTTGGCTCACTACAACCTCTGCCTCCTGGGTTCAAGTGATTCTCCTGCCTCAGCCTCCCCAGTAGCTGGGATTACGGGCATGTGCCACCATGCCCAGCTTTTTTTTTGTATTTTTAGTAGAGAGAGGGTTTCACTATGTTTTCCAGGCTCGTCTCAAACTCCTGACCTTAGGCAATCCACCCACCTCAGCCTCCCAAAATGCTGGGATTACAGGTGTGAGCCACCGCACCCAGCTAGTGAAACTCTTTCCAGCTCCCCAAACCCTGGGCAGAAGCCGGGATATGAATTATTTATTTACTTACTGAGTTATGTGACATAACTCACACCATATGAAATGCACCATTTTTTAGTGTACAAATAAATGGATTTTAGTGTCTTCACTATGCTGTGCAATCACCATCCCTACCTCATCCCACAGCATTTCCATCACCTCAGAAAGAACCCCCAAGTAGTCAGTCCTAGTTCTTCCCTTCCCTCAGCCTTAAGAAATCACTAGTCTACTCTCAGTTTCTATGGCTTTGTCTATTCTGGATATTTCATGTGCATAAAATCACACCAAATACACGTCCTTTTGTAGCTGTTGATGGAAAAGAAGTGGTTACCATGAAGGAACTGAAGTTTTCCAAAGACAAAATTATAATGTGGCCTGACAGAAGAAGTACAGAAATTGATAACAAAAACAAATCCATCACAACTTATCATGAATCTGGTCATGCCATTATTGCATATTACACAAAAGATGAAATGTCTATCAACAAAGCTACAATCATGCCACAGGGGCCAACATTTGGACCTGTGTCCCCATTACCTGGTGATGACAGATGGAATGAAACCAGAGCCCAGCTGCTTGCACAAATGGACATTAGTATGGGAGCAAGAGTGGCAGAGGAGCTTATATTTGGAATTGACCATATTACAACAGGTGCTTCCAGTGATTTTGCTAATGCCACTAAAATGGCAAAGCAGATGGTTATCAAATTTGGAATTAGCGAAAAGCTTGGAGTTATGACCTACAGTGACACAGGGAAACTAAGTCCAGAAACTCAATCTGCTATTGAACATGAAATAAGAACCATTCTAAGGGACTCATATAAATGAGCAAAACTTATTCAAAATTCAAATAATTGTATGACATGGTTATAACAAAACACCATCCTACCCCATCCATAGTATTTATTTAGATGAACAAATTTTCTCAGTCCTGTATCTATACAAATGAAAACTAGATATAGTATTGACGTTTAGCTCTGTTTCAGTCTAGGAATAAGTAATATTTACCAGTGGACATGTGAACAATTAATAACCATAATCAAGAAGTATTTTTAAAACATTTAGAATCTTAAATTTATATAGTAGAGATGGATAGGGTGATCCATGAAAGATGTTTAATTATATAATTATTACATTTCGCTAAAAACTTGTTGGTGATGTTGAATGGAAAATCAAGTCAAAAATGAAGAAGAATGATGCAAACCTTAAAAAAAAAATGAGCAAAACTTATCTTGAAAAGTCATGCAGAGGAGCATAAGAATCTAGCAGAAGCTTTATTGACCTATGAGACTTTAGGTGCCAAAGAGATTCAAATTGTTCTTGAGGGGAAGAAGTTGGAAGTGAGATGAGAACTCTCTTGATGTGGATGCTTTGCTGGTTTTATTGCAAGAATATAAGTAGCATTGCAGTAGTCTCCTTTTGCAATGCTTTCTCCTCATTATTGACGTTGTGTAATTTAAGGGTGTGAAACATTTTGTCAACATTTTGTCACGTTTACCCAATTTTGGTTATTCTCATTATGACACCCATTGCAAATCAGCATCCCATGGCAAATATATTTTTAAAACTAAAGAACTATCAGGATTAAAGACAGCTCATTTGGGAAATGTCAATTAGTTATGAAGTTGAAAGTAACTAATGATTTTATGGTTGGTTACTCTACTAGAGGTGAATAAAACTTCAGCCTTTAGCCTTCTATATACATCAGTGGAAACTTAATTAAGATGCATTAATTATGTTCCAGATTGACCATCAATAAAATGTTTTTAAATCTAAATGTAGAGAATTGTAAGCATACAGTTGCAACCCGAATTTAAATGATTATAACCTTTTGGCATGGTGTGATGGCTCACGCCTCTAATCCCAGCACTTTGGGAGGCTGAGGCGAGTGGAAGGCTTGAGTCTAGGAGTTCGAGACCAGCCTGGCCTACACGGCGAAACCCTGTCTCTACTAAAATTAAAAAAAATAGCCTCCTGTGGTGGTGCACAACTGTAATCCCAGCTACTCAGAAGGCTGAGGCACAAAAATTTGCTTGAACTGGTTGCAGTGAGCCAAGATCTCACAACTCCACTCTAGCCTGGGCGACAGAGTGAAACTTTGTCTCAGTAAATAAATAAATAAATAAATAATTGTAACCTTTTAAAAATAAAAAAACCCAAACAAATATATGTCCTTTTTTTGTCATTATTCATGATAGCTAAATAGTGAAAACAACCCAAATGTCCATCAATTGGTGAATGCATAAACCAAATGTGATATAGGCATAGAATGGAATATTCTTCAACAGTAGAAAGGAACAAAGACCAATTACATGCTCTAGCGTGCAGAGACCACGAAAACATTTTGCTATGTGCAATTGGATTTTTGCCATTTTGTTGTTGTTTTTAATGTAGTACATTTATTTTAATTTATTATTTTTTAAAAAAAAATTCAATAGCTTTTGGGGAACAGGTGGTGTTTGGTTACGTGGATAAGCTCTTTAGTGGTGATTTTTGAGATTTTGGTGCATTCATCACCCGAGCAGTGTACACTGCACCCAATGTGTAGTCTTTTATCGCTCATCCCCCTCCCATTGTTCCCTGTGAGTCCCCAGATTCCATTATATCCTTCTTATGCCTTTGCATCCTCATAGTTTAGCTCCCACTTATGAGACCATATGATGTTTGGTTTTCCATTTCTGAATTACTTCACTTGGAATAATGGTCTCCAACTGCATCTAGGTTGCTGCGAATGCCATTATTTTGTCCCTTTTTGTGGCTGAGTAGTATTCCGTGCTGTGTGTGTGTATATACACACATACACATACATGTTTTTCATATGTTTGTGGACCGTTCGTATATCTTCTTTTGAGAGTTGTCACAAAGGGAATTGGATTTGGAGGGAACAAATTTATGGCCATTTTTCAGTATAATCATCGGGTGAAGACAGTGTCTGTTCGGCCAGTGTCGCTTTAATCCATTACCTGTAGCCAGGAAGGGAGACGTTTATCGCAGAGATAGGCACCAACCTGGAATGCTTTCCTCAAAGGCGATTAACTGTAATGTGAACCCGAAATTTCACCGCAGTTTGGTCCTGATTTGGCACAAGATATGCTTTATCCACTGATGTGAAATGTCCAGGTGTTTTTTTGTACGGTTTTGTTGCTGAAAGACACAATACCCTCTAATCTAAGGCATCCTCTCCAAATCCCACTGAACAATACCCTCTAATCTAAGGCATCCTCTCCAAATCCCACTGAGGCACAGGAGTGACACTAGAGAGGGGGTCACGGAGCTTCCTGAGAGAGATTCGCCTCCTGAACCCTGGGCAGATCCTCCCCACCTTGGGATCTCTGTGAACCTCTGGGGTCTTCTATTCAATCAGGACCAAGTTGTGAGGTGGGATTCCTTCCAGGCTACAGTCTCCCCTCTCCCTCTTTCAATTTCATCAAGACAGATCAGAGGTTTGTGGGAGGGAGTCATGGCGTCTCCTCCACAGCCCCCAGCTGTGCAGATGGATGAGGCCACCGTTCCTGGATGGAGTAAATCTACTGGGAACCTGGGTTCTCCATCACGAGGTTGTCCCGTCATCAGCCCCAAAAGAAGGGGAACTGCCCTCTCCGGGAGCTTGACTTTCATTTCCCCAAGGCTGGGACTGGGGCAGGCACCAGGCTGTCTTCAGATACTTCATACAGAAATGGTATCTCCCTGACCCTTTTCTGCGATTTGCCTCATCTGTCTTCATCTCATCAAGGGTCAGGACGTAGGAGCCGACAGACCCAGCACCTTTCTGAGTCTGTCCTGTCCAAGTGAGGGTGACTGGGGGCTTGTTCTTCTTCTCAGAGCCTCCCTGTGGGGTTCTCTTCCCTCCTTCAGCCTGTCCATCAACACAGCATTGCGGGATCCTTACCATGGCATCCAGCCCTGGAGATGCTTCAGGAAAGTTGCAGGTCCATGCTGCAGGACAGGCTCAGATCAGCAGAGACGCATCTCACATCGGGCTGTGAAATTCAAGTTGAGCTGCAATTGGCAATGAGAAGAAAAAAGGAGAAATAAAGAAATGCTGACTCTTCTTTTGTCTTTGGAGTATGGGTTTTATTTCTTCCAGTTTCCTTCTTAGACTTCCCTTCTTTTTTTTCTTCCTATTTTTTTTAATAGTGTTCAGGTCCCCCTCCCTTAAAAGTAACCTCTGAGTCATTCCTGCCTCCTTGGCGTCCCTCCCACCCCCAGCCCCGCTTCCTTGGGCATTCCCCTGCATCTCAGTCTGCCTTCAAGGTTTTGGGAACAAGTACTTGTCTTGAGCTCTGATTTGGGGGTGGGATAGGGAGTTAATTTTTTCTGAATTGCTCACCTTCATCCCTGCGTGCATGACCTTGGGCAGTAAGTCCCATCTCTGAGCCTCGGTTTCCTCATTTGGAGCCTGTTGTCATGAACCCCCCTCCTGAGTGGTTTTGGGGGCCAGTGGTGCCTGGGTCATGGGAGGGCCTCAGTCATGGTACATTTCCAGACCGGGTTAAGTCTTGGGGGTTGAAACATGAGTGGATCCTGGTGTTGGACTGCACAGTCACGGTGAGTGACTTATGTGCTCAACAGCCCACATCTGCTCCTAACACTGGGAAAACCTACTTATAATGTGTCTGAAATATGTAGCCATGGTCCAATGAAGAAAATGAGAAATGAGACTTCCTGTCATAGGCAGGAAACCTTAAGAAGCAGAAGATGCCAGCGCCGAGGGGCTGCTGGTGACTTGCAAAGCTGGGGGTCACTAAGGGGGAGGTTTCTGCCTCTGTATGAGACAGAGGAGAACCCCAGGGCCCTCACAGACAGGGAGGGGTCGGGGTTTTGGATGAAAGTGGGAAGTTGTGGCTCCTTCTCCCCTGTGTTTGTGGATGGCACTGGGATATCTCTGCTCATTGACTCAGGTCCATGGTCAGCCCTGAGCCGCCTCCTCCATGTGTGTGAAACAGATTCACTGCAGCGTTGTCACACATGGGCGTCTGTCCCACATGCGAGTCTGAGGCTCACACTGGACCCTCCCTGCTGGTTACAGCCCTGAGTAGACTCATGTGGCACTGGCAGGTGGAACCATCTCCCCTTTTCCAGCCTTAACTCCCAGCACAGCCCTGGTGGAAACCCTCTCTGGAAGATGAGGCATGTGGGAAGCATGTGTCCAAAAATGACAAGGAGAAGGAATTATCCTAATGATCAAAAGTGCTATGATGGGCCAGGCACCGTGGCTCATGCCTGCAGTCCCAGCACTTTGGGAGGTCAAGGCGGGCGGGTCACTTGGGCCCAGGAGTTCAAGACCAGCCTGGGCAACATGGCAAAACCTCATCTCTACAAGAAATACAAAAATTAGCTGGATGTGGTGTCATGAATAATGGCCTCCAGCTCATCCAGGTTGCTGCAAAACTCAATCCCTTGTACATCAGTTGCAAAAAATTAAAAATATCTAAGAATATACCTAACTGAGGAGGTGAAAGATCTCTACAAGAAGAACAACAAAATGCTGCAGAAAGAAATCGTAGATGACACAGCAAAATAGAAATATATCCCATGCTCATGGATTGGCAGAATCAATATTGTGAAAATGATCACACTTCCCAAAGCAATATTTAGGTTCAATGCAATTCCCATCAAAATATCAACATCATTTTTTTCACAGAATTAGAAAAAAATCCTAAAATTCATATGGAACCAAAAAGAGGATGAATACCAAAGCAATCTTAAGCAAAAAGACAAATGTAAATTTAATAAACATATCCTAGGCTGAATTGTAGGGGGTTTGTTTTTGCTCACTTCAACCTCCACCTCCCGGGTTCATTCAAGTGATCCTCCTGCCTCTGCCTCCCAAGTAGCTGGGATTGCAGCGTGCGCCACCATGTCCAGCTAATTTTTGTATTTTTAGTAGAGATGGGGTTTTGCCTTGTTGGCCATGCTGGTCTTGAACTCCCGGCCTCAAGTAATCTGTGGCCTCTGCCTCCCTAGGTGTTGAGATTACAGGCGTGAGCCACCGCACCCGGGCACATTGCCTCTTTTTCTATTCTCAAGAAACATTTGTGATGCTCTGGGTGTGTTTGTGTGTTTCATTAGTGCGTCAATATTTGTAAGAAATCACCAGTGAAACTTCCTGAACTGGAGTTGATACGATGGGAACATTTTTATTACAGTCAATGTTTTTCACACACACACACACACACACACACACATATATATACACACACATACACACACATTTAAAATGAGTCAGATTCTCTGATTACTCTTACGTTCATTATGTAAACTCCAGTTTTGAATATTTCATCCATTTAATCTGCATTTTCTAGTATATTGGTATAGGTTTGCAGCCTGTTCTGGGGTTAGTTTGTGAAAATGTGTGTAGGATCTGCTGGGCTGTCTGCTGGCTCACTCCCATATGGAAATGCGTGCCTGCTCTTTCTTTCTCTTGCTCAATGTAGTTAGGATTTATGACTGTAATTAATATTTTCAAGAATGAGCTTCATTGGCTTTGTTGAATTTTCAAGTTTTGGTTTTTCCTCATGAGCAACTCTTCTTCTTCTTATTCCCTTTCTTACACCTTCATTTGGAATAATTGGTTATTCTTTTTCTAAATTCCTTATACGAAAGCCAACGTCATTCATTTCCTAGTTTTTTTTTTTCGTTTCTACTTTTTTCATTTGTGGTTTGTACTTTTTCAATTTCATTGTGTGATGTGTAATATTTATATTGTGATTCAGTTTAAAGCACATTCTTACTTCTGATTTTAGTTTTCTCGGTTAACTCATTGATTATTGAGAAGTCTGTTGCTTTAATTAAAAAATGTAGGGATATTAGTTATTTCGACTGCAGAATCAAGTGAGTCCCAAAGTTCCCAGCATCTCCTCATGGTCTTTGTTAGGGGTCCAGGCTGACTGGGGTTCATTGGTGTCCACTGGGGGCAGCTCCCGTGCCTTCAGCAGTCCTGAGTCTCCTTCTACTGAGTGTGGAGTCTGCGTACCCTCCGGGCTAGTGGATGGCCAGGGTGGCGTAGATGCTGGGCTCAGCTGGAGGTTCCCCTTCCTGGGATGGAGGAGGCTCAGTTGCCTTCCGTCTGAGGGTCAAGCTGTGCAGCTGGGCGTAGGTCACATCCTGGGGGGCTTCAGATGCAGCAGCCTGCAGCGGGAGAGAGTGAGAGGTAAGGAACGTGGTGGGGGTGGGGGAGGCCTGGGGGCCTGGAGAGGAAAGGACTCTCTCAGTGTCCATCTGTCTGTCCTCTTCTGCCTGTCTGTCCTTTGTGTCCAGGAATTCCCCGGACAGTGGGGAGGGAGGAGAGGCCATTTCTCTCCTAGGTCTGGAGTGTTTCACCTCGGCATACGTCACTGCCTGGGGGTCTTCATCGTGTGGGCTCTGCTGGAGAGAGACAGTGGTGGGGGGTGTCCTTGAGTCCCCCTGACCTCCTGGAGTCAATTTTCCTCACTGTTCCCGGGGTGATCCGATTACATCCCTTTCCCGATGGAATCTCAGGGACGCCCTAAGGCCGTGGAGGGTCTGGCCGCTCCCTTCCTGTGGTTCTGGCCTCTGCTCCTCACTCTGACCTTGCCCATTTGGCTGCAGCCTCATGGGCCTTCCCGCAAGAGCTCGCTGCTGCCTCGGGGCCTTTGCACGGCTGTTTCCTCTGCCTGCAGGGGCTCGTCCATTAGAGGATCGTGTGCCCCACTCTGTCCAGGCTTCTCAGATGACAGCTGAGCAGACAGCCCTCCCCTTCCATTCAGACTGGCCCCACTGCCCCACACTCTCTGCCCTTTCCCTGGTGTATGTTCCTTTAAGCACGTTGCACTCCTGGACATGGCGCATTTATTTGCATTTTGTCTCCCACCACGAGGTGAGCTCAGGAGGCGGGGGCGGCTTTGCTCCCTGCTGTGTCTGCAGCTCCCATGGGGAGCCTGATCCACAGTGAGCTCCCTGGGAACACTCACTGGTTGAATGAATGAAGGGGAGCCCAGGGGACCGGGGTGGTTCATTTATTCCTCATCCTCCAGAGGCCTGGGGAGCGCTCTAACAACCAGACGGCCAAACAGAGGATGAGGAGCAGGAAGGGGACCCGGGAGGAGGCCCACGAGGTCCCAGGACAGCAGGAGAGAGTGAGGTCACAGCAGGCGGGAGGCAGCGTGCTGGACAAGGAGGGGTCCACCGTGACGATGCTGAGAGCCGGGGGAAGGAGGACAGAGAAGTCCTGCTGGATTAGATCTGGCACCAGGAGGCCTTTGGTGCCTGGGACAGGGGCGGGGTCTCACCCGAGTGTCCATCTCCACCCCATCTTCAGGCTGTGTGTCCTTCACGGCAGCATCTGCTGGGGCAGAGCAAGGGGTTCGTCTCTTGGGAAGGTTCCCTGGGACCTCTGAGTCCTGCCAGCCCCTGCCCTGCTCCCAGATGGGGCTACTGAGATGCAGGGAGGGGCTGCAATGTCCCTGAGGTCCCACAGTGTGGGGTGAGATGATCTCACCCTGAGCCCCAGACCCTTTCCAGCCGGTGCCCCTTTCCCCATTGCTACGGAAACTTCGGGGCCCCTATCTCCCTCCTGGCTGGTCACCTCTTCCTCTCACTCACAGAGGTTTTCTTCCTGGGCGTCGGCAGCTGGGCTGGACCTGGGGGAGGAATGGGAGCTTTAGGGGCAGTGTATGGGCCACGAGCAGGTGGGAGTCTGGGGTCTTCGGGCAGAATTACCTCCACTGCAGGCCTCTGTCTGTGGGCTCTGGCCCCACAGCCCCTGCAGGATGTTGGAAATCAGCCTTTCTCTGGGCTGGGGGAAGAAGGACAGAGCCTCAGCCCTGGGAACATTGGAGCCCCCTGCCCTGCACACACAGCTCGAAGGTAAGGAAGGAAACCTAAAAACACTCCTGCCTCCATGTTCCAAATGCCTCATGAGATGGACAGAGTCCGAAGGACACTTTACATTTGTAGATGGGACTGAGCCCGGAGGACACTTTATATTTGTAGATGGGACTGACGTTAAGTGCTTTCTCCATTCACCTGGTGAGAAATGCTGGAACAGTTTCTCAAAGCTGCATTTGCCCAGTGGTTTGGATTCTCTTTGGCTGTGCCCTGAGCCCACCCTCGGTCGGCCCACAGGGTTTCCCCTTCCCTACTCACTTGATGTCCAGTGTTTGCCCTGACGTCGATGTCGGAGGATGAGGAAGAGGAGGAGGAGGAGGAGGAGCAGTAGGACGACGGCCACCAAGATGCCGATCACAACCCCCAGGTGCCTTCCCAGACCTTGAGCACGATGATGTCAGGGATGGGGGTGATGTCATTGAAATGAGCGCCTACTGTGTGCAGGTGACTGCTGGACCTTCTGTTCACCACCTCCAACCCCCACAACAGTCGTGCAGCACACAAACATCCACCCCACCCACTCTACAGATGAAAAACTGACGCTCAGAGAGGGGAATCGCCTGCCCCGGGCCCCCAGCCAGGAAGCGGCAGAGCTGGGAAGGGAGCCCGGGAGTCTGACCTGCAGCCCTTGTTCCTGCACCAGAGCCGAGCCCCGGAGCTGCAGGGAAAGAGCCTGACCGTCCTGAACCACGACTCTGCTCCCCTCCCCTGCCCCAGGTCACCGTCTCTGCTGCAGGTGGGACGGGACAGGCCCCCGCGGAATCGAGTCTTGGAGTCTTCCCTGAGGGGCCTCCTCTCCCAGGAGGTCACAGCTGGGAGTGAGAGCTGAAAGGAACTTTCCCACCTGCAGGCCTCTCTCCTTTACACTTGGAGAAACTGAGGCCCAGGCAGGGGAGGAGCCTGTCTACATCACCACCTCCAGAGGAGCCTGAACCTAGGACAGAACCCACCCCTGCCTCCCCGGGACCCCGCCCACCTCCCACTCAGAGCCCCTCACTCACCACTTTGGGGATCCGACCCAGTGGGGGTGAGGGGCTGGTCCTCAGGGCCTGCTGGGTCAGGAGGGGGAGGTGAGGGCTGGGGCTGCCCTGCTCCCCACATCAGCCTGGCTGCTCCTCCCCCAGGCTGGGCCCCAACACTTCTCTCTGCCTCGATCCCCCACCCCTCACCAGCCCAGCCTCAGAGCCCTGGGGACCCTGTGGCCCCTCCTCTGGCTCTGCCCAGCTCCCTGGACAGAAGCCCTTGATTGAGTCCCTGAAGGGAATGGGATCCTCCTGGACACTCAAAGCTGCCCTGGGGGTCGCTGCGCTCCCTTCGAGCCAGAGGCCTCAGGGACTCACCAGGTGTGGAGATGGGACCGGTGGGTGGGGGGCTGGAACCCATGGAGGGTCCTGGGTGAAAGAATGAGAGGAGGGTGAGGAGCTGGGGCTTTCCTGAAGTTTCCACCTCAAACCAAATTTCTCTACATGGGCCCTGTGGCCTCCCCAGGCCCCTCCCTCCACCCGCCTCTCCTGTCCATGATGCTGGCGATGCCGCTGAGTGTGCGCAGGCCTGGGAGGGCCTGTTGTCCTCCTTCCCTCTGAGGGTGAGTCTCCCACTGGCTGAGCCCCGCTCAGACCCCCGCTCACTCCATCCCAGCCCAGAGCTCTCCTGGGGGGCAGGGCCTGAGCTGAGCCTTTGAGCTCAGAGAGGACAGGGTCAAGGCCCCCACCTGAGACCACGAGCTCCAGGGGCTCACTGGGGTGAGACAGCAGGTAGGGGTCGGAGTTGAGTGAGCCGTAGCACCTGTAGGTCCCCGCGTGGGCTGAGGTCACAGGACTCATGGGGAATTCAGCCTGGTACTTAGGATATTCGTGTATTGATCTTAGACGGAGTGGGGCATCAGCTGCTCCCGCCTTGGTCAGAAGGAAAGTGTGGAACTGCCGCCATGACTGACACAGCAGGGTCACGTTCTCTCCTGAGGCCACTGTGGGGCCTGGCTGCACTGAGATGAAGGGTGTGCCATGGATCTGTCCTGAAGAGAAGAAGGATGGGTGAGGGGCTGCCCCACCTTGCTCTGAGCTGAGACCTCCCCAGGCCTCTCTAGGAGCCTCTGTCTCTGTTTTCTCTGAGTCTTCCCCTCCCCACCCATCCCCTGTCTCTCTCTCTGTCTCTCCCTCCCTTGGGACCACCCCCCGCCTCATCCCGGCCATCACTAATTGGATTCCCCCGGCAGGGCCTGTGCAGAGTCTGGGTCCCTGACTGAACCCGCTGGGCTCCTCACCTGTGATCAGGATGTCCAGGGGGTCGCTGGGGGCCGACCACTCGGAGGAGAGGTTGTATGCACCGTAGCATCTGTACTGGCCCCCGTAGGAGCGGCTCACAGGGCCCAGGGTGAAGTTGGCCTGGGAGAGCCCAGCCTGGGGCTGCCGGCCAGGGAGCTGGCGAAGGTCACGTTCCCCCTCCTTGTACAGAACAAATCTGTCATAGCCGACATCAGAGACACACTGGAGGGTCAGGCTTTCCCCAGGGGCCACGACAGGACCCGGCTGCACTGAGAGTGATGGCTTCTTAGAAACACCTGGGAAAAGGTGCTCATGGTTTCCAGGAGCCGACCCTCAGGCTTCCCCACAAACCCTCCCTCTCCCCCGGTGCCTCACCACTGCTGATCTTCCTGTGTCTCTGGCCCCAGGAGCCCTGAGCCCTCTCGCCCCAACATCATCCCACCTGGAACTGCCCTGAGACACGGCTGCTCCCCACCTGCCTGGAGACTCAGGGAGACTCAGGGAACTCCAGACAATGCTGTGAATTTCTCACCTGGGACCAGGAGCTCCAGGAGATCACTGGGTGAAGACCACACATAGGGAGAGTTCAAGTCATAACCATAGCACCTGTGCGACCACCTGCGATTCGGGCTCACGGGGCCCACGGAGAAGATGGCGCGGGACGACCCACGGGCATGGGGCTGGGAGTTCAGGCATTGTGGGTGTTCATCTTCTCCTTCCTTACACAGAATGAAGCCGCCAAATGCCACCTGTGACTCACACTGGAGGGTCACCCTTCCTCCTGAGGTCACCACAGGGCTGGGCTGGGCTGAGAGGGTGGGTTTTGGGTAGGCTCCTAGGAGAGAAGGAGGCACCGTGTTAAATGGGGCTCCCACCTCCCACATCATCCCCAGGGCTGGGCTGTGAGAGGGAGACACCCCTGAGAGCCTCCTTCCTGAGGGCAGAGCCTGGGGCTGGGATCCCTGAGTGTCCTCTCACCTGTCATCACCAGCACCAGGGGGTCACTGAGCTCAGACCACCGAGCGCGGCTGTAATACTGACAGCCATATCGCCCTGTGTGTTCCCAGGTGATGGATGGGATGTGGAACTGGCCGTTCTTCACAAGCTCTGGTCGTATCCGTGTAATCCAAGATGCTGATTTTTTCTCCCTATATAGACGGTACTCCTGGGCTTCAAGGCTCCCCTGACAACTGAGGGTGACGGGACTCCCCTGGGTGATCACAGAGTCTGGCTCAGCCCACAGGGTGGGCTTGGGGATGGTCCCTGGAAGGAAATCAAAGGTCAGATTCGAAGTCATTTCCCACCCAACAGATCTCAGCTCTCAGCCCAGGACCCTCCAGATGCCCCCATCAGTCAGTCCAGAACTTCTAATCCCCATCCCCAGCTGCACGGAGGTGGCCCCTTGTCCCCAGTGAGGAGGAGGGACCTGGGAGAGCTGGGGACAGACTCACCTGTCTGCACGTGGGTCCTGGGGCCCAGACTCAGCCCTGGAAGAGAGTTCCCTGTGAGGGATTTGCCCCCTGAAGCCTGAGCAGGTCCTCCCCTCCCTGGGATCTTTGTGAGCCCCTGGGGTCTCCTTAGGGACCAGAGTTTGGCTGTGGGGTGAGGTCCCTCCTAGGTTAGAAGCTCCCCTCTCTCTTCAAATCTCACCGAGACAGATCAGGACTGTGACGATGGGGGTCATGGCGTCTCCTCCCACTGCCCTGCTCTGCGGATGGATGAGCCCTCGGTGCTGGCGGGACAGAGACACACAGAGAGAAATAGCCTCCCCTCCTTCCCACCCTGTGTGGACACTCAGAGGCTGGGTCCTTCTCATGGGGTGTTGTCATCTGCAGCCACACAAGAAGCGGAACTGCCCTCCCAGGAGCCTGACTCTCATTCTTTTAGAGCTGAGGTGGGGGCAGGCACTGGGCCCTCTGCAGACATTTCAGACTGTAATGGGGTCTTTCCTGACCCCCAGCCACTGTCTGTCTGGTTTCTCCTCGTCTCACCGAGAGCCGGGATGTAGCAGCAAATAGAACTGGTGCTTCTTGTGTCTGCCCTTCCTGATGAGGGTAGCAGTGGCTTCCCCTTCCTTCTCACAGCTTCCCACATGGTCACCCTCCCTCCTTCAGCCCATCCATCAGCACAGCGTTGTGGGGTCCTTACCATGGCAGTCGTCCCTCCAGCCCTGGAGATGCTTCAGGGAAGACCCAGGTCCATGCTGCAGGCAGACTCAGATCAGCAGAGACGCATCTCGCATCTGGCTGTGCCGTCCAGGTTGAGCTGCGTGTGGCAGTGAGCACAGAGGAGAAATGCAGGGAAGTAGGGGAAGAAAAGTTGACTTCTTTCTTGACACTGGATTGTGGGTTTTCTTTCAACCAAATAGTCCCCTCTTAACTTCCCCTTTTTAAATGTTTTTGCTCCAGCGTCCACTCCCTCCCCCCCGGGAAGAAACCTCTGAGTCTTTCCTGCCTCCTCGGTGCCCATTGCGTCCTTAGCCGTCCCTCTGCACCTCAATTCCTGGTCAACATTTTGGGAACAATGACTTATGTTTGAGCTTTGATTTGGGGAGTGGGGGAGGGAGTTGATATTTATTTGATGACTGGTTATCATCCGCTGCCTACGTGACCTTGGTTTGTAATGTCCCATCACTGAGCCTCAGTTTCTTCCTTTGCAGATTGTTGTCATGAATCCCACTCGTCACAGTGGTTGTGGGGTCAGTGGTGCCTGGGACATTGGGAGGGGCTCATTTGTGCTTGATTTCCAGACCAGGGTAAGACCTGAGGCTTTGGGACGTGAGAGGATCTTGCTGTTGGACTCCACATTCTGTAGGTGATTGATGAGTCCACTCAAGATGTCACATCTGACCGTAATGGAGAAACGTATGTGTAGCATTTCTGAAATACCCAGAGTATCAAGGTCATGAGCAGAAAAAGACATGTGGAAACCCCAAGTGTAGACGGACTCACAAGAAAGAACAGAGGCCAGAGGTGAGATGCCACAGGGTCCCGGGACCATCAAGGGCTCATTAGGGTGGAGGTTTCCACCACTGAGTGGAGCCGGGAGAGGAACCCCGGGATCTGCAATGACAGTGAGGGGCTCAGGGCTCCAGACCAAGGTGGGAGGCTGCGTCCTCTAGCTACACCTGAGGCTGGAGTGGACCCCAAGCAGCCCAGGGGAATTCCCTCAAGGGAGTGCACCAAACTGTCCAGACCTGCTGGAATTCCAAGGAAAGAAGCACTAAACACCAGGGTGTTCATAGAGCATTTATTAGGGGGACCTCTGCACAGTGGGGCATCCTTGTCTTCTTGCCCAGTGTCTCCTTGTGGATCTCAAGGATGTGCTTCCACATAGCAGCATGTTCTTCAGATGCACAAGGAGACACTGGGTATTCTATCCAAAGCTTTAACCTAAAATAAAAACAAAACCAAAAATAAACCCCTAGAAAATATGATCTCTCAGTACAGTTGTTTCTTGGGATACACAGGCAATTCGTTTCAGTACCCCCTACATGTACCAACACTTGCTCGTACTCCAGCCCTGACGTTGTCTCTGCTGGGTCTGCATATAGGAAAAGTCTGCCGTTCATATACGCAAGTCTTGTTTCTCACAAATGCTATAGTTTTGATCCCCGTTTGTTTGGAAAAAGTGTGCATATAAGAGACCCCTGGAATTCAAGGCTGCATTGCTCCAGGGTTGCCTGGATTTTGAGTTTATTTGGGAGTGAGAAGCAAGGATTACAATATGGAGTGCATGGCATGGCAAGCCACAGTGTGTCCAGAGAGGGAAGTGTGATGTTGTGATATATGCTGGTTTTCACCCGCAGTTCCTGGCTTGTAACTCCCATAGCCCTTGTTATAGTCTTTTGTTATAACATTGGCTGTGCTGGGCCTCAGGGGAGGCCTCTGACCTCCTCCTGCCCTTCCTTCACCTAACCCAAAGTAAGACTCGAATGTTCCCTGCCTTTCTGATAGTGGATCTTAAGACCCTCCCAGAAGACAGTCTCACCCTGTTCCTTGTGGGAGGAAATGCTGATGTCATGAAGCTTTCATAAAAGCCCCAGAGGACTGGGTTTCATGAGTTTCTGGGTGGCTGAGCATGCTAAGGCTCCTGGAGGGCGACGCCCAGGGAGGGTATGGAAGCCCCGGGCCTCTTCCCCCATGCCTCCTCCTATGAGTTTCTTCATCTGTGTCCTCTGCAGTGTGCTTTGTATTCAACCAGGAAATGTCAGTGTTTCCTGAGTTCTGTGAGCTGCTACAGCAAATTAATCAAACCCAAAGAGTGGGGCATGGGATCCCCAACTTGAAGCCAGTCAGTCAGAAGTTCTGGAGGTCTGGACTTGGGAATGGTGTTGGGGGCAGTTTTGGGGAATGGGCCTTCAATCTGTGGGATCCGGGACTGTCTCTGGGTAGACAGCACCAGAGCTGACTTAGAGGACACCCAGCTGCTGTTCGCTACTGCGTCTGGGGAAAAAAACCCCATACATCTGGTCCTAGAAGTCTTTTTCTGTGTTGATGATTCCTGTGACGTGAGAGTAGAGGAAAAGCACCGTAGAGAGAGCTCTCTGTACATAGAGAGGTAAAGGAAGTTCTTATCAGCAACAAGGGAGAGCCTGACAGAGCTGCCTGGAAACAGAGTTCCCTGGTTCCACAGGTTCAAAGCCAGAGTTGCTGTCAGTCCATTGGAGGAGATGCTGTTGCTGGTCAATGGTTCTCTTGAGAGCATCTTATCTGAATTCCTGACGTCCTAAAGAACATCTAGTGATAAACTTTGTCAAAGCAGAAGGGGCTGAAGGACATGGAAGAGTTTCTTATGGGTTTTTTAAAAGTCCTTAGAAACAGTTCTTATCTGAGACGTGGAAGCATGGGCCTCCTCTCCTTCAGGCCTTCCTGGCCCTGTGGGGTCTGAGTTTGACCAAAGTCATCTCATCCTTGCACCTGTAACTTTTCTATTGGGAGTCTGCAGTGAAGGGATGGGGTTACGAAGTTTAACCTGAGAGTTTCAGGAATTTGGTTCAGGGGAGGGCTTGTTTCTACACTTTTAGCAAAAGGGTTAATTTTTCAGTGTTTTCTAGAAACAACCTAAAGTGCTTTATCAGTACTTGGGGATGCTCAAGACCTCAGCTTGGGTTCCAGCCTGCAGGTGGAAACATGCATCTGTCCAACCCACAGAACAGTCATGGCCCTTTGTCTCACTCTCAGAACAAGGAAAAAAGTGGAGGAAACTGTGGGACCTTAGAGACTGTGACTCCCCCTCTTCTGTGTTTGTGGACAGACCCTGGGATGACTCAGTGACCCGGGCTACACTCAGCACTGAGCCACCTTCCCGGGTGTGCATGACACAGATGCGCTTTATCATTGTTGGACCGGGCATCTCTGACCCTGGAGTGTGAGGCTCACATGGACCCCGCCATGCCGGGCATAACACAGAGGTGATTCTAAGCTTGGGAGCATGGACACCGCAGGGCAGGAGCGGCTACAGCAATGCCCTCATCAGCTTTCCTTCCTGAGTCAGCCTGGGGAGAAACCCTATATGGAAGATCAGGTGTGTGGGAGAAAAACCCACCCCAGAGGAATAAAAATCAAAGAGTCCGTTAGAGAAAAAACAGGCAATTGTAGAAATGAATTAGGAAGCTATTGTGATGTGAAAATAGTAAATTATATTAACACATTTAGAAATAATTTCATCCAGAACAAGACACAGCTGAAATGATAAACATTGTATTGGTGTAGAATATTTACTAAAATTTTTCATTAGTCATCAGAGAAAAACTAGAAATGAAAAAAATAGAAAAGATAATTAATGCACACAAGAAATGGAATGAAAAGAGGAAACAGATATCTCTCTTTGGATCACACTTTCAGAATGAAGGAAATAAGGAGTATGTTATTCAGTAAATACTTGCAAAGAAAATGGTTGACATTTTTATAGAAATGAAGAAAGAACATGAGTTTAACGTGAACAAATTCATAAATAACATCAATGTCTTAACTATGATAGAGTAAAAGATACCTAGAATAGATACAAAGTAATTTTAAAACTACTGGAGAAAATGAAAATTATTGTCCAATGAAAGACAAGCACATTGGGACTGGATTTCCCAAGAGTAAAAAGTGCAAGAAAATGACTGGGGGCTGAGGTTCAAGTTGGCTGAATGGAAAGGGCTGGAGTCTGCCTACTCACTAAGAGGACCCAAAATAGCGAGTAAATACCAACAGGTCAAGTGGATCTTCCAAGAGGATGCTGGGGTTCACCTGAGAAACATGAGGACATGGAGAGAAGAGAAGAGAAAAGGTGGGAGCCAGGAGAGGCTCCTAACACGGGGAAGGGGTGAGTGAGTGAGAGATTCACCAACACGGGGAAGGGGTGAGTGAGTGAGAGATTCCCCAACACGGGGAAGGGGTGAGTGAGTGAGAGGATCCCTAACACGGGGAAGGTGTGAGTGAGTGAGAGGATCCCTAACACGGGGAAGGGGTGAATGAGTGAGAGCCTCCCTAACACAGGGAAGGGGTGAGTGAGTGAGGGGTCCCTGGCATCTACACCTCTGCTGTGGGCCCTTAGGATCCTGCCCACAGGAGAGCGCCTGTCCCCTCTGGGCCTCCAGAGGCCCACAGTTTTCTCCTGGAGACTGTACCAAGGCCCCACTGGAGCCCACGTGGAATCCCACAGGCTTCTGATCCCTGAGCAGCCTGGGTCCAGCTGCCACTGCCTTAGCAGGGAGGGAGGAGGCCAGGCACCTCTGTGGGCCCCAGAATAAGTATGACAGCTGGGGCACAGGAGCAGCCAAGCTGAGCACCACACAGCTGCCCACCTCTGTTGCTTCCTGCGAAATGGGGCTTCCTTCCTGCTAATGGGGCTTGCCAGCTGCAGGGCCTCAGTGCACCCGTCCTGCCCCCACCCGAACACCGTGGCCCTGGCTCGGTGCCCTCTGAAAGCCCAATGCTCAGAGGCCCCTGACAAGCCCTTTGCAGTCACTGCCACCTCTGCCTCTGCCCCTGCTGCCCCAGGCCCAGGGAGGGTGTGGGGAGGCCTGGCACTTTCACGTGTCCCCAGAGCAAAACCGAGTGACACTTCTTCAGGAGGGAAGTGTGAGCGGGCCCTGTGCCTCACAGCTGCCAGTCTCCAGTGCCCCAGCCGAGGGGCGCTGCCCTCCCTAGTGACAGGCCCACAGCTCAGCCACCCTGCCCCCACCTGGACATTTCAGCTGCAGCCCCCAGCCCTTCTGAGAGCCCAGTCCCCACAGGCCTGTGATCTGCCGCAGGCTCTACCACCTGAGCCTTCTGCCTGCCCCGCCTGAAGGTTCTGCCGGTGACCTGGGGACCAGCCCATCCCTCCCCATCACAGCCAGCATCTGAACCCTGGAGCAGCCGAAACCCAGTCCAGCCCCTTCAGGACTCACACACGCTGTCCAGCCGGCCACCTAGGGGCCTGTGATCCGGGAACTACCTGCCCTTTCCTACCTGCTGGCACCTGACCACTCACCCCAGGGCCTGAGGTCGGGCCCACCCAGCCAGCAACACCACCACAACTGATGTCCACTCTCCCATCCAGAGAGGCAGAAGCCCCACATCCCACCTACATGAAGCAGCTACCACGTCAGACAACAGACAGCCGCTCAGGGTCTGCACTGGGCTGAGGGAGGAGGCTCTGCCTTGGAATCACGCCTGCAGAGAGTGGCAAGGCAGGTGTTTCCCACTGCCCTCAGCCACACTGTGGCCTGGGGAGAGACAAGAGTGTGTGTCTGAACTGAGACTCATGAGCCCTGGAGCACGGGTGTGATAGGGAGACAGACAACGTTCCTCCCTATGGGACTGGAAACGGTGTAGCTCCTTCACCCCCCGCAGAGACCTCAGGGCATTTCACTAGGAGCTGCTCCAGCCATGTCCATCAGGACTAGTGCCTGCACTCATCACTGGGATATCTGTGGGCAAGCCGGGGGTTCCAGCTCTGCCCAGGGGTGTTCCCTCGCCCCTGTGGAACAGGAAGCTCAGGGCACCTGACACTCCACGGTCCAGCCCTTCCCCTGAAACAAGAGTCAGCACCTCACAGGAAACACACCAGGTCCACATCCACCTGCTTGTGCCGAGCGTGGCTCTTACCCTTAAGCACCAGCTCCTGGCCTGCAATCTGAGCTGCACAGCCCAATGCAAACCCTGCTGCAGAAGCTCCCAAAGCCATGGGAAAAGCCAAAAGACCCTTCCCAACATGCTCTACAGTCACCCTCCCTGCGGGGCTGGGGGAAAATGTGCAAAAGAAATCCCATCCAAACGAAAATAAATTCGAAGAGAGTAAGTGGAGGCCTCTCCAGATGAGAAGGAATCAGTGTAAGGATTCTGACGCCGTGAAAAATCTGAATATTGTGGCACCACCAAAGGATCGCACTGGCTCGCTAGTGATGGATGCTGAAAACAATGGAAACTCTGAAAGGACAGATAAAGAATGAGACTGACACAAAAACATTACAAAGAATCAATGAAAGAAAACGTTGGTTTTTTGAAAGTATAAATAAAATTGAGAGATGGCTGACTACACTAACCAAAAAAAGGAGATTTAAATAAGCACAATCAGAAATGATAAAGTTGACATTACAACCAACACCACAGAGATACAAAAGATCATCAGAGACTACTATGAACACCTTTATGCACATAAACTAGAAAACCTGGAGAAAATAGATGAATTCCTAGACACACACAACTTCCCAAGATTGCACAGGCAAAAAATAGAAACTCTAAACAGACCGATAACAACCAATGAAAAAGGATCAGTACTAAAAATCTTCCAGCAAAAAAGTCCAGGAACAGATGGATTCGCAGTTGAACTTAGCTGTATGTACGAAGGAGGGCTGGTACCAATCATACTGAAAGTATTCCAAAAATCAAGGAAGTGGGATTCTTTGCCAGCTCATTTTACAAAATCAGTATCATCCTGATAGCAAAATCAGACAAGGATCCAACAGAAAAATAAAACTACAGGCCAAGAAATCTGAGGAACACAGATGCAAAAATCCTCAAGAAAATACTAGCAAACGGAATCTAACAGTGTATCAAAAACATAATTCATCATGATCAAGTTGGCTTGATTCCAGGGAAGAAAGGATGGTTCAATATATGCAAGTCAATAAAAGTGACTCATGACATAAACTAAGAACAAAAAGCATATGATCATCTCTATAGATGCAGATAAAGCTTTCAAGAAAGTCCAACATCGCTTCGTGATAAAATCCCTCAACAGGCTAGGCATGAAAGAAACATACCGCAAAATACCAACACCCCCTGCGTGACAAACCCACAGCCAACATCAAATTGAATGGGGAGAAGTGAAAACATTTTCCCAGGAAAATGAGAATGGGATCCTCCCTAGCCCCTGGGGTCTCCTACTGGACCAGGGCCTATCTGTGGGGCAGGGTCCCTCTCATGCTAGAATCTCCCGTTCCCCTCGTCAAATCTCAGTGAAGTGGACCATGGCCATGGGAGTGACAGTCATGGCACAGAGAGGCAGGGCTCTCCTGTAGCAGGACGAGCCGCAGACAAAACTCCTCAGACACCGGATTAAAGAAGGAAGAGGTTTTTATTCAGCTGGGAGCGTGGGCAGACTCGCGTCTTAAGAGCCGAACTCCCCGAAAAAGAAATTCTTGGCCTTTTTAAAGGCTTATAACTTTAAGGGGTCCACGTGAAAGGGTCGTGATACATCAAGCAAGCGTGGGAAACGTGACTGTGGGGGCTATATGCATCAGCTAACAGAACAAAAAGTTTTACAGTGCTTTTTTCATGCAGTGTCTGGAATTTACAGATAACACCAGTAGTTTAGGTCAGGGGTTGATGTTATTATTATTACTTTTTTTAACTCCTACGGCCGGGTGGTGGTGCCAAGGTTGTCTGGCTATTTATCTTACTTTTGTATTTTTCCAACTTTTGGCTTTTTCTCTCTTCCTGTTTTGTGAACTAGGCAAGGTGGGGGGAGGAGGGCAGCAGGAGTAGTAGTGGTCTCCTTCCTTACTCCCACTTACAGGATTTTCCCACCAGCATCTCCATGGGTGGTGAGCTGTCCCGGACCCCGCTGGCTCATGTTTTCCCAGGACTTGGCCTTTCTCGAATGCTTTATCTGCATCGGTTGAGATGATCACATGCTTTTTGTTCTTAGTTTATGTCGTGAGTCACCTTTATTGACTTGCATATATTGAACCATCCTTTGAGACAGGCACCAGGCTTTCTGCTGATATTTCAGACACGCATGGCATCTCTCCTGATCTCCTTTCACTGTCTGCCTGACATGTCCTCGTCTCATTGAGGGCCGGGACGTAGCTGCAAATGGACGTGGTGCCTTCCTGAGTTGGTCCCTTCCAGGTGAAGGCAACGGAGGGTTCTTCCTTCCTCTCAGAGACTCCTCATGGGGTTTCACTCTCTCCTTCAGCTCACCCATAAACACACCCTTGTGGGGAACCTACCATGGCCAGTCTTCTCACCAGTCCTGGGGAAGCTTCAGGGAAGATGCAAATTCAGGCTGCGGGGCAGACTCACATCAGCAGAGACTCATCTCACATCTTGCTGTGCAGTTCCAGTTGAGCTTTATTGTGGCGATGAACAGAAAGGGGAAATACAGGGAGACAAGGGAAGGAATCATGTCTCTTTTCCCAGAACTGGAGTGTGGGTTTTCTTTATGCAAAAACGTTCCCTTCACGAACTTCTCATTCACTCATCGCAACAGCGTCCGCCCCCGTCTCCCTGGAAACAACATTGACCTGACTCTGCCTTCTTGGTGCCCCCGTCTTCTTTCAAACACTCCTGTTCCCATCCTGTGCTCCTGAGTTCAAGGTTCTGGGACAATACGTGGGGTTAGCACTCTGCTTTGAGGGAAAATCTTGTCTTTATTTAAATATTCATGTGTCACCCCCTGCCTGTGTGACCTTGGGCAGTAACCTCCCATTTCTGAGCCTCGGTTTCCTCATTTGGAGCCTGTGATGAACCCCATTTATCACAGGGGAGCTGGGTCATTGGAGCCTGGGGACTGCAGGGGGCTCAGCCATGGGTAATTTCCAGAGCAGGTGAAGACAGGAGGGGTGGGGGCATGAGGGGATGCTGGCGCCCACCATCAAGGCCTGAGATTGATGTTTCCACTAAGGAGAGCCCCTTTGTTCCTGCCCTTGAGAGATGCTTCTCATAATATTTCATCAACACCCCGGTTATCACAGTCATGTCCAGAAAATGAGAAATGAAAGCTTGTCAGAAGGAGAAGCGCCTGCATTAAAGAGAAAATTAAAACTGACAGAGCATTTGTGTCTGGTGCCATTGGGGTCTTCAGGGAGGAAGTAATTAAGTCACTAGTGTGCATACATTTAAGCATGAAATGCAAATCTTTTTTTTTTTTTTTTCGAGACAGAGTCTCACTCTGTCGCCCAGGCTGGAGTGCAGTGGCACAATCTCAGCTCACCGCAACCTCCACCTCCCGGGTTCAAACGATTCTCCTGTCTCAGCCTCCCGAGTAGCTGGCACTACAAGCACGCACCACCACACCCGGCTAATTTTTGTATTTTTAGTAAAGATGGGGCTTCACCATGTTGGCCAGGCTGGTCTCAAACTCCTGCCCTCACCTGATCCGCCTGCCTCCGCCTCCCAAAGTGCTGGGATTACAGGGGTGGGCCACCGCGCCTGGCCAAAATGCAAATCTTGACCTCTCATGATAAACTGAAAAATAGGAGTAAATTAAAAAATACATATGCTAGACTGAATTATGTAATTTAAAATGCATTTTTGTGTTTTGTGATTTTCAACTCAACATGTCAATAGCATTGCTTCTCAGTGGGACTGGACTTCCCGATAGTAAAAAGATAAGGGAAGGAGATGCTAAGAGAGTACTCTCAGGGGACTAACTGCAAGTGAGGAATTCTATACTTACTCAGGTTAATACCTGAAAGGTAAAGGGGTCAGCAGGGGACCAATTCCTAAACAGAAGAAGGCTCAGGGCAAGACGGACCTGTGAAGCTGTCTGGTTGGGCTTCCCCTTCGTGAGGGCTGAGGAGGGATTGGAGGGTGGATCTCTCAAATCATCAGATGTGCTTTCTCTTCCAGGTGTTATACTTACCCTTTAACTAATACAGAAATGTTTTCATCTATTTTGATAGAGAGAGTGGGAGGAAAAAGAAGGCATTTTCTGAGCTGCAAGTTACTAGATATTACTGTTTTCATGCTCAGTGAAGGCAATTTTAAATGATATCATCCAGTTGGAAGATCAATGAATCCGGCCGGGCGCGGTGGCTCACGCCTGTAATCCCAGCACTTTGGGAGGCCGAGGAGGGCGGATCACGAGGTCAGGAGATCGAGACCATCCTGGCTAACACGGTGAAACCCCCGTCTCTACTAAAAATACAAAAAAATTAGCTGGGCGTGGTGGTGGGCGCCTATAGTCCCAGCTACTCGGGAGGCTGAGGCAGGAGAATGGTGTGAACCTGGGAGGCGGAGCTTGCAGTGAGCGCAGATTGTGCCACTGCACTCCAGCCTGGGCGACAGAGCAAGACTCCGTCTCAAAAAAAAAAAAAAAAAAGAATCAATGAATCCAAAATGTAGAATATGAGATGCCACAGTGATGTAAGTGAGAAACAGGCAAGTATTTGAAAATCACACACAGACATGCCCACATGAATGCAACCACACACGGGCACACATGTATGAGTCAGTGTGCATGTACACATGTGAGTACTCAGAGTTCAGCTACAGTGGAATTAGAACGTGTCTTCTCTAAAGGCAAGGATAAATGAATCCTCATTCGAAAATATATAATTGAGTGAATACTTAACTAAATAGGTGAAGTTATTCCAAATTTTTCTTTTTTTTTAATCCTGTATGTAAAAGAGTAATTCATCCACTGAAGGATAAGTTAAATAGCCCAGTACCCCAATCACACCTAGGCATGAAACACAATAGTACCATCTAAAATGAAATGATAATTTACAATCAGTAAGTGAAGAAAGGTATACTAGTAAAATATCTATTGGAAATATTAATATTCAACAAAATGTAACATAATCCAAAAAGTTTTAGAAATAAAAACTAAAATTTTGTGTTTTAATGAAGTTGTAAGGGCTGGGCATGAAGGGATTTGCAGGCTGAGCGGGGAGGATCACTTGAGCCCAGGAGTTCAAGACCAGCCAGGGCAAATAGTGAGACTCATCTTTATTTATTTTTTTAAAAAAAGAAGGTATTAAAGATGACTGGGAAAAATCACTGTATGAAAAACCGAGGAAGAAGGAATTAGGGCTCCCGAATGGGGTGAAGACCCACATGCAGAATGTCTCTGAGCCCTGAGAGTGGAGCAGTGTGTTCAGGATCCTGAGCCTGTGGAACCAACATTCTCTGAGATGTGAGTCTATGGAATGTGTGTTATAAGACCTGCCTTTTGTTAGTATAATCCAGCAAAAGCCCATGGGCGAGGACCCAGTTTTATTTTAGGGAATGTGGGGACAGTATATTTTCTATTTGTGTTTATGCAAATTTCATATTGCTGATCAGTCATGCAGAAGGCGGAGGTCAGTGTGTTCACAGGATTCGTACCCGAGAGTCTGGAGACACATGTGGGGGTCCATGGGAAAGGCTGGTGGCCGGGTATGGTGGGAAGGTAATCAGCGACAGATGCCAGAGTCTCCTGCTTGATCTTGCCGAAATCTGGCTCAAATGTTTGGCCTGGCACAACCAAACTAGAACTTGGAAGACGCTGTATAGGTAAAACATAATATTGTAATCATTCATATTCTGTTAAGGCTTTGAAAATGTCCTTAATAAGATTTCTTTATCCTGGAAGGTAGATGGCAAATGATAACATTTCTTTATTCTAGAGGGTAGATGGCAAACGATAAGATTTCTTTATTCTAGAGGTTAGATGGTGAATGATATGATTTCTTTATTCTAGAGGGTAGATGGTGAATGATAACATTTCTCTATTCTAGAGGGTAGATGGTGAATGATAAGATGTCTTTATTCTAGAGGGTAGCTGGCGAACGATAAGATTTCTTTACTCTAGAGGGTAGACGGCAAATGATAAGATTTGTTTACTCTAGAGGGTAGATGGTGAATGATAACATTTCTTTATTCTAGAGAGTAGATTGTGAATATTTGGTCCTTCATGTTTTCTCAGGATCCTCCCTCCAAACATTCTATCCTATACAGCAAAGCTTTACATCCTTCAAACACAACAGTCGTCTTGGACCTAGATATGTTGAACTCTTTAATGCTAGGACTCAAGTCCTCTTGCTGTTTGGGACAATTCAGAAAAGAATCAGCCCCAGTCATTTTGCATACTTCTGTCTGACTGTCATAGGTGAGTAGAAAGAAACAGCTCAACTGCTTGACAAGATTCATCGACCTGAGGTCTTGTCTGCAGCTGGATTTCTATCCTACTTCCGTGATTTTCCTTTCGTGGATCACCAACACACTGCAAATGCCTATCATTGCTTTTGACGTGGTGTACTTTGGTTCTGCCTGGAAAGGCAGGAAGTCTCGAAGTGAGGAGCTCACAGGTCAAAGGAGATTGAAATGTTTTCAGACAGAATAGGCAAATCCGTAGAGACAGAAAGCACACTTGTGGTTAGCAGGTGCTGGAGGGAAGAGGGAATGGGGAGTGGCTGCTGAATGGGTGTAGGATGATGACAATGTGTGGAACAGGATGGCAGTGATGGTTACACAGTGATCTGAGGAGAAGATACACAGGTAGCATCTGAGAAGGAGGGAAGGGCTTGTAGGGTTTGGAGAGGGTGTCAGGGCATCAGGGTGGATTTATCTTTTCCTGGTTGAAATCTGATACTCTCCCATTGATTTAGTTACTGAAGCACGTTTGGAACTCTGAACTGAAGAGATGGAGGCTCAATAAAGCACACCAGGGAGTATGGCAATGAGGAATAAAGAAGACTGTGTTACACACCATGGACCAGAGCACACAGATGTGCAGAGGTGTGGATCCAGCCCTGCCATGTGGGATGTAGCCTCATGTCTAGGGGTGGGAAAAGAAGGGGATCCAACCAAGGGAAGTCAACATTAATAGAGAGGAAAGGTATCACATGTTAATGGTCCTCCATGGATCACCCTGCAAAATATCTCTGCAATCCAACACTGATTCCTCCTTCTAGAAATTATCAGCAGACAGTCCAGATAGCATTGGCCCTAAATTGTCTCCCGGAACCTCCTGGGATCACCATATCTATTCCCAAGGTTCCACCACTCTGAGAGATGCATTGTCCTCTCTGCTGTTCACCTCCTAGCTGCATCTTAGGGGCTTCTCTGGCTGTGCTGAGCCTCAAATAACAGAATCCTGAGGACCACCAGGATCAAGCCAGCCTTGCCCATGTGGATGAGATTCTCCACTGTGTAATCCTGGGGGTGTGAGGTTGGGGATGGTGGGCAAAGAGACCACAGAGGTCAGGGCAGATCAACATCACCCAGGACCTCTGGATGTCCACCCAGGGCACCCACCTCCCCTTCACAGGACCTGACCCTCTGTGCCAGCCCCATAACTGAAAGCATCTCCTCACGCACCAGTCTTGGGGTCTGAATTGTTTTGTGATGGGCTGAGGGTATCAGCTGCTCCTGAGAATCAAAGCAAAGGAGAAGTACCCTGAGCCAGCCTCTCCCATGGGCTCGGCATTCTTATCTTCCCCTGTCTCCTGACATGAGTTCTAAGGAGTTCCTTAGTAAACTCTTCCTCTGTAGCAGTGTTCGTTCCGTTCTTCTTAATGAATTATTTCAGCTTTCCTGCTTTCTACAAATCCAAATGTTGCTCTTGAGTCATTTGGGGGAGAGTTTTCCTTCACCCTGAGGGCTCAGGATCTGCAAGGAAAGTGGTCCCCAGTACAGAGGTCACTGAGCCCTGTGTGCTGTCTGTGCAGCCTGGGACACGGGAGCACATGAGCCAATTCCCCCGGAGATGAGAGTTTCACGGATCCACCAGCTGAGGACCCAGGCTCCCTGGATGAGGGGTTGGTCCTCAGGGGCTCCCGAATGTCAGAAGCACAAAGCGGTGAAAGTCTGGGGCTGCCTCCCCTTCACCTGGGTTTTCATTGTCCAATTAATCTAATTAACTAATTCTTCATATAATCAGGAAAACCTAGAATGATGTGATACCTTCCCCCCGGCCCCCATCCAAAAATATCTGTCTGCTAAATAGTGGTGCTATTAGAGGTTCATAAATCAGTATTTCTGCTTTTACAAAGTGTGAATCTAGGTGAATCTAGACCAGTAACAAACATGTAAACTCCTACCACATCAAATGTCTTATTTATTTATTTATTATTTTTATTATTTATTTATTTATTTATTGAGGCAGAGTCTTGCTCTGTTGCTCAGGCTGGAGTGCAGTGGTGTGATCTCGGCTCACTGCAAGCTCCGTCTCCTGGGTTCAAGCAATTCTCCTGCCCCAGCATCCCGAGTAGCTGGGATTACAGGTGCACGCCACCACGCCCAGCTACTTTTTTTGTATCTTTAGTAGAGATGGCGGTTTCACCATGTTGGCCAGGCTGGTGTCGAACTCCTGACCTCATGATCCTCCCACCTCGGCCTCCCAAAGTGCTGAGATTGTAGGCATGAGCCACTGTGCCCGGCCTATTTTTATTTTTATTGAGATGGAGTCTCACTCTGTCGCACAGGTTGGAGTGCAGTGGCACTATCTCGGTTCATTGCAACCTCTGCCGCCCGGGTTCAAGTGATTCTTGTGCTTCAGCCTCCCTAGTATCTGGGACTACAGGGCCGCACCACCATGCCTGGCTAATTTTTTTTTGTATTTTTAGTAGAGATGGGCTTTTACCATGTTGGCCAGGCTGGTATCAAACTCCTGACCTCAGGTGATCTGCCCGCCTTGGCCTCCCAAAGTGCTGGGATTACAGGCATGAGTCACTGCGCCTGGCCATCAAATATATTAAGAATATGGATATATTTATCAAGTGAACTTGGAAATACTTACACACATATTCAAATGTAACTTATATAACCACACATAAATATGTATAGATGTAAAACTTTAGATATTTAAGATGTAGTTACATACATATTGATATTTGAAGTGAGAATATTGGCAAGCAATATAGAAATAAGTAAAATCTCCATTGTCTCATGGTTTGTATACATTTCATCAGGAAATTAGAGGAGATCCATAGAAAAGCAATTAGAATGGGGTAATTTGGTAGTGAGTTAGCATGAAATACAATGAATATACTCAAACGAGTAGCTTTCTCATGGATAATTATCTTTTATTTTTAAAATATGAAAGAATAAAGTACTTCACATATACATTGTTAAAGGTGTTGAATAATTCTTCAAGTTGGAATGAATATAATTCTTCAAATGTCCACCCAGGACACCCAGCTCCTCTTGACAGGACCTGACCCTCTGTGCCCAGCGTCATCACGGCAAGCATCTCCTCACTCACCAGCCTTGGAGTCGGACTTGTTTTGTGGTGGGCTGAGGGTCTCAGCTGCTCCTGAGAATCAAAACAGAGGAGAAGAGACATATTCAGAGGTAACTCATATGACAAATTATTCAACACCTTTGACAACTTATAAGTGAAGTATTTGATTCCTTTATATTTTTTAAACAAAAGATAAGTACCCATGAGAAAGCTACTGGTTTGGGTATATTCATTGTATTTCATATTAACTTATTACCAAATTGCCCTCTTCTGATTTAAATTTAAATTAACAATTTTAAAGCATCTCTTTTTCCTATAAAAGAGGTTTAGTTAGATGTTAGAATTATCCAGTGATTGGACAACATTGGACATGAACCCCCCAGGCCCAGAGCTGGGCTGCACTGTAGCCCCCGCTGACCTCCCCCGGGTTTCCCATGCCACAGGGAGCCGCCCAGTCAGTTTCCCTCAGGCCACTGTGCTTTAAAACATCCAAACACAGCCGGGCGCGGTGGCTCACGCCTATAATCTCAGCACTTTGGGAGGCTGAGGCGGGCACATCACAAGGTCAGGAGATCGAGACCATCATGGTTAACACAGTGAAACCCTGTCTCTACTAAAAATATAAAAAATTAGCTGGGCGTGGTGGTGGGCGCCTGTAGTCCCAGCTACTTGGGAGGCTGAGGCAGGAGAATGGCGTGAACCCGGGAGACGGAGGTTGCAGTGAGCCGAGATCGTGCCACTGCACTCCAGCCTGGGAGACAGAGCGAGACTCCGTCTCAAAAAAAAACAAAAAAAAAGAAAGACAGCAGATTCTAAAACAGTGGGGCTTTGTAAACCTTTGTTGTTTCAAAATACTGTGGCTTTGTCTTACTAAGCTGAGGTTCCAGGAGGGATGAGTGAAACTGCATGCACCCGCTCCCATCTCTGTTGGCTTTTTAACCCTTACAAGTCTCAGTTATTTGGAGAATCAGGACAGGGCCAGAGATGGCTGGAGATGAGAGCAGGTCTAGGATTGAGCCACATCCCAGATGCCCCAGAAGGTCAGAAATGAAGGGGCTTTGGGGCGGTCACATCCAGGCAGCTCCCCCTTATTCAGATGGGGAGTCCAGGGTGCAAGGGGAACGGTCTCTTTCAGAAGTTCCACCTCCCAAGGAGAGGCTGAACCACCACAGACCCAGCCCCACCTCCCCGGGCTCCTCCCACCTGACTCCTAGACCAAGTACCTGACTGTGATCTCCCCTGACCCTGGCTCTCCAATGAGAGGTGACGGCTCCTGGGAATCCTGCTGAGGGAGGGGGAAAGACCCCGCTGCTCCACTCATCAATGCTGAATCTTAGACACCTCCCTCCCCTCTGAACACTACGGAGGGAACACCTGCCCCATCCCTGGAGCCCCAGGGAGCCACGCAGACCACACCCTTACTGTCCACCCTCCCCTCTGCTTCCCTGGAAATCAGACCCTGAATATTGGAG
This sequence comes from Homo sapiens, assembly GCF_000001405.40. Lineage (NCBI taxonomy): Eukaryota > Metazoa > Chordata > Mammalia > Primates > Hominidae > Homo > Homo sapiens. The sequence continues at coordinate 272,646 of NW_003571061.2, forward strand.
GTAGCATTGAGATGAGTCTAGAAAATTCTCTTGAGCTGGGAGTGGCTGTTTTTTTTTGTGACCCATGGGGTCAGGACTTAGAGGTTGGGACCCAGAGGCTCAGATTCTGAGGTGGAGACATCAGGAGGGGAGCGGGTGGGGCCTCTGTCTTCCACTCTCAGTCTAATCTCCTCTCCTCTGAGGTTCACCCCCCGGCCCCGCCATCTCCTCCCAGCCCTCCCTGCTCTTTACTCTACTGGGACTTCAGGGGTGGGAGCCAGGGGTGAGAGGTCCCTGTCGATTTCCACCCTCTCATGGTCTGGACCCTCCCCTGCAGACCCTCCCCCTTCACTCCCCTCATTCATTATTGTCCCAGAGCTCTGCTGGGGGCAGGGCCTGAGCTGAGCCTTTGAGCTCAGAGAGGACAGGGTCAGGGCCCTCACCTGAGACCACGAGCTCCAGGGGGTCACTGGGGTGAGTCAGCAGGTAGGGGTTGGAGCTGAGTGAGCCGTAGCACCTGTAGGTCCCCGCGTGGGCCGAGGTCACAGGACTCATGGGGAATTCAGCCTGGTACTTATGAGATTGGCGCTTTGATTTTAGACGCAGCGGGGAATCAGCTGCCCCCTCCTTGGTCAAAAGGAAAGTGTGCATCCCTCCCTGTGACTGACACAGCAGGGTCACGTTCTCTCCTGAGGCCACTGTGGGGCCCGGCCGCACGGAGAGGAAGGGTCTGGCACGGATCTGTCCTGGAGAGAAGAAGGATGGGTGAGGGGCTGCCCCACCTTGCTCTGAGCTGAGACCTCCCCAGGCCTCTCCCTGGGACCCTCAGTCTCTCTGTCTCTGTTTTCTCTGAGTCTCCCCTCCCCGCCCACCCCTGTCACTGTCTGTCTCTCCCTCCCTTAGGACCCCCACCCCTCATCCCGGCCATCACCACCTGGGCTCCCCCAGCAGGGCCTTTGCGGAGCCTGGGTCCCTGACTGAACCCGCTGGGCTCCTCACCTGTGATCAGGATGTCCAGGGGGTCGCTGGGGGCCGACCACTCGGAGGAGAGGTTGTATGCACCGGAGCATGTGTACTGGCCCCCGTAGGAGCGGCTCACAGGGCCCAGGGTGAAGTTGGCCTGGGAGAGCCCAGCCTGGGGCTGCCGGCCAGGGCGCTGGAGGAAGTCACGTCCCCACTCCTTGTACAGAACAAATCTGTCGTAGCCGGCATCAGAGCCACACTGGAAGGTCAGCTTCTCCCCAGGGGCCACGACAGGACCCGGCTGCACTGAGAGTGATGGCTTCTTAGAAACACCTGGGAAAAGGTGCTCATGGTTTCCAGGAGCCGACCCTCAGGCTTCCCCACAAACTTTCCCTCTCCCCCGGGGCCTCACCACTGCTGATCTTCCTGTGTCTCTGGCCCCAGGAGCCCTGAGCCCTCTCGCCCCAACATCATCCCACCTGGAGCTGCCCTGAGACGCGGCTCCTCCCCACCTGCCTGGAGACTCAGGGAGACTCAGGGAACCCCAGGCAATGCTGTGAATTTCTCACCTGGGACCAGGAGCCCCAGGAGATCACTGGGTAGAGACCACACATAGGGAGCGCGCGAGTCATAACCATAGCACCTGTACGACCACCTGCGACTTGGGCTCACGGGGCCCACGGAGAAGATGGCCCGGGATGACCCACGGGCATGGGAATGGGAGTTCAGGCATTGTGGGTGTTCATCTTCTCCTTCCTTACACAGAATGAAGCCATCAAATGCCACCTGTGAGTCACACTGGATGGTCACATTCCCTCCTGAGGTCACCACAGGGCTGGGCAGAGCTGAGAGGGTGGGTTTGCTGTAGGCTCCTAGGAGAGAAGGAGGCACCGTGTTAAATGGGGCTCAGACCTCCCGCGTCATCCCCAGGGCTGGGCTGTGAGAGGGAGAAGCCCCTGAGAGCTGACCCCCTTCCTGAGGGCGGAGCCTGGGGCTGGGATCCCTGAGTGTCAGCTCACCTGTCACCACCAGCTCCAGGGGGTCACTGCTCTCTGAGAGGCCTGCAGTGTGGCTGCCATAGATACAGCAATACCGCCCTGCATGTTCCCAGGTGATGGATAGGATGGGGAACTGGCCCTTCTTCACAAGCTCCTGTGGGATCCGTGTAATCCAGAGTGCTGTTTTCTTTTCTCTATATAGATGGTACTCCTGCGTCTCCAGGCTCCCCTGACACCTGAGGGTCACAGGACTCCCTTGGGTGATCACAGAGCCTGGCTCAGCCCAGAGGGTGGGCTTGGGGAGGGGCCCTGGAAGGAAATCAGAGTTCAGATTCTAAGTCATTTCCCACCCAACAGATCTCAGCTCTCAGCTGCAGGACCCTCCAGACACCCCCATCAGTCAGCCCAGAACTGCTATTCCCCATCCCCAGCTGCACAGGGGTGGCCCCTTGTCCCCGGTGAGGAGGAGGGACTTGGGACAGCTAGGGACAGACTCACCTGCCTGCACGTGGGTCCTGGGGTCCAGGCTCAGCCCTGGAAGAGAGTTCCCTATGAGGAATTTGCCCCTGAAGCCTGAGCAGGTCCTCCCCTCCCTGGGATCTTTGTGAGCCCCTGGGGTCTCCTTAGGGACAAGAGTTTGGCTGTGGGGTGAGGTCCCTCCTAGGTTAGAAGCTCCCTCCCTCTTCAAATCTCACCGAGACAGATCAGGACCGTGAGGATGGGGGTCATGGCGTCTCCTCCCACTGCACTGCTCTGTGGATGGATGAGCCCTCGGTGCTGGCAGGACAGAGGACACACAGGGTGTGGACACTTGGAGGCTCGGTCCTTCTTCTCATGGGGTTTTGTCATCTGCAGCCACACAGGAAGTGGAACTGCCCTCCCAGGAGCCTGGCTGTCTTTCCTGTAGGGCTGAGGTGGGGGTGGGCCCAACTCCTCTATAGACATTTCAGACAGAAATGGGGTCTTTCCTGACCCCCAGCCACTGTCTGTCTGCCTTGTCTTCATCTCACTAAGACCTGGGATGCAGCAGGAAAAAGAACCAATGCTTTCCTGAGTCACCCCTTTCAGGTGAGGGCGACCTCCTCCCTCTCACAGCCTCCCTCAAGGTCTCCCTCCCTCCTTCAGCCCATCCATCAGTTCAGCGTTGTGGGGTCCTTACCATGGCAGTCGTCCCTCCAGCCCTGGAGATCCTTCAGGGAAGATGCAGGTCCATGCTGCAGGGTGGACTCAGATCAGCAGAGACGCACCTGACACCTGGCTGTGCAGCCCAGGCTGAGCTGTGTGTGGCAGTGAGAACAGAGGAGAAATGCAGGGAATAAAGAGAGGAAGTCATGACCCTCTTTGTGGCCCTGGACTATAGGTTTTCTTTCTAATCAATAGTAATCCCCCCCTTTTTTTTTACTTCCCCCCCCTTTTTTTTTGGCTACAGCGTCCACCCCTGACGTCCCTGGGAACAAACCTCTGAGTCTTTCCTGCCTCCTCGGTGCCCATTGCATCCTTGGCCGTCCCTCTGCACCTTAATCCCTGTTCAACGTTTTGGGAACAATGACTTATATTTGAGCTTTGATTTGGGGAGTGGGGGAGGAAGCTGATATTTATTCAGAGACTGGTTATCATTCACTGCCTACGTGACCTCGGGCGGTAATGAACCATCTCTGAGCCTCAGTTTCTTCCTTTGCAGCTTGTTGTCACAAATCCCACTGGTCACAGTGGTTGTGGGGTCAGTGGTTCCTGACACATGGGAGAGGCTCATCTGTGCTTCATTTCCAGACCAGGTCAGCACATGAAGTGTTTGGGATATGATAGGATCATAGCGTTGGATGATTGATGTGTTCTCTCAAGATCTCATATCTGGGATCCCTAATGGAGAAATGTACGTGAAGTATTTCTGAAATATGCAGAACATCAATATCATGAGCAGAAAAAGAGGCGTGGAAGTCTCCAAGTGTAGATGGATCCACATTAAATAACAGAGGCCAGAGGTGAGTCGCCACAGGTGCCTGGGACCATCAAGGGGTCATTAGGGTGGAGGTTTCCACCAAAGGTGGCCCAAAGTGATTAGACTCAACATGCCAGACCTGCCTTGGTTTACTACGGAGAAAGAGATTCAAATGTTTAGGAAGGTTAAAATGTTAGAGAGGAGTTGTCATTCAAGACGGCCTCATCTAAATTGGAAGAGTCTAGAAGATCTATCTTTCTTTTCTTTTTTTTTTTTTTTTTGAGATGCAGTCTCACTCTGTTGCCCAGGCTGGAGTGCAGTGGCACCCTCCTCCTCCTCCTCCTCCTCCACACCCTCCTCCTCCTCCTTCTTCTCCTTCTCCTTCTCCCTCTCCCTCTCCCTCTCCCTCTCCTTCACCTTCTCCTTCTCCTTCTTCTTCTTCTATTTTTTTTTTTTTTTTTTTTTGAGACGGAGTCTCGCTCTGTCGCCCAGGCTGGAGTGCAATGGCGTGATCTCGGTTCACTGCAACCTCCGCCTCCCTGGTTCAAGCAATTCTCCTATCTCAGCCTCCCAAGTAGCTGGGATTACAGGCACCCACCATCATGCCAGGCTAATTTTTGTATTTTTAGTAGAGGTGGGGTTTCATCATGTTGACCAGGCTGGTCTCGAACTCCTAACCTCAAGTGATCCTCCTGCCTTGGCCTCCCAAAGTGCTGGGATTACATGCGTGAGCCACCATGCTTTCTTATCCAGCACTGCTAATAAAGACCACCAGAAACCATTTTCCTTGAGCAGGCACAGCCAGCAATATACATTCACTGTCCTACCTCAGGCACATACCAACTGTTTAGTTCTATCCCATAGTTTAGTTCTCACCATAATCATCATTATCATCTCCTTTCATAAAATGTTAGACTGAATCATTACATTGATAAAATTATGCTGGTTGGAATGCCCATCAATGACAGACTGGATAAAGATACTGTGGTACATATACACCATGGAATACTATGCAGCCATAAAAAGGAATGAGATCATGTCCTTTGCAGGGACATGGATGGAGCTGGAAGCCATTATCCTCAGCAAACAAACACAGGAACCAAAAACCAAACACTGCATGTTCTCATTCATAAGTGGGAGCTGAACAATGAGAACACATGGACACAGGAATGGAAACAACACACACTTGGGCCTGTTGGGGGGAAAAGGGAGGAAGAGCCTCAGGATAAATAACTAATGGGTGCCGGGTTTAATACCTAGGTGATGGGCTGATGGGTGCAACAAACCACCACAGCACACGTTTGTTTACTTATGTAACAAACCTGCAGGTCCTGCACATGTATCCCAGAACATAAAATTAAATTAAATTAGATATCAAAAATAAAAATAAAATAAAGTTAAAAAAAGAAATTATGCTATTTGGACCAGGAAAGCAAGAAGTAGCACCTATTCCAAATTTATTAGTAACACATTTGCATGACAGAGGGTGAGAAATAAATTCCACAAAAATATTGGAGCCTTCCGCCTCAACACAATTTCTGAGTCCACTGATATGGAAAATGTTGAGATGTAACTTCTAAAGCAAAAGGTAAGTTGTTGCATCTGGCCCTTCCTACAACCAAAAGAACCATGGTACCTAGTAAGCCTCTTGGGTTTTTTTTTTTTTTTTCCTGAGACAGAATTTTGCTTTTTTTGCCCAGGCTGGAGTGCAGTGGCACAATCTGGGCTCACTGCAACCGATTTCAAGCGATTCTCCTGCCTCAGCCTCTCTAGTAGCTGGGATTACAGGTGCCCGCCCTCACGCCCAGCTAATTTTTGTATTTTTAGTAGAGACAAGGTTTCACCATGTTGGTCAGGCTGGTCTCGAACTCCTGACTGCATGATCCGCCCACCTCGGCCTCCCAAAGTGCTAGGATTACAGGCGTGAGCCACCGTGCCTGGCCCTACCTCTTGGATTTTGAAAGCAACATATTTCTCATGTGGGTGTGCTCCATTAGCCCATTTACTAAGTGACTCAAAAGGAGGCCGGGTGCAGTGGCTCATGCCTGTAATCCCAGCACTTTGGGAGGCCGAGGTGGGCGGATCATGAGGTCAGGAGTTTGAGACCAGTCTGACCAACATGGCAAAACTCCGTCTCTACTAAAAATACAAAAAATTAGCCAGGCATGGTAGCGGGCGCCTGTAATCCCAGCTACTCAGGAGGCTGAGGCAGGAGAACTGCTTGAACCTGGGAGGCAGAGGTTGCAGTGAACCGAGATTGTCCCATTGCATTCCAGCCTGGACAACACTGTGAGACTCCATCTCAAAAAAAAAAAAAAAGTTTTGAGTGGGGTGTGGAATAGGGGAAGGCTCTGCAACAGATCCAGGTCCTGCACAAGCTCTTCTGCCACCTGGGCCATATGATCCAGTGGAACAGATGGTGCTTGAAGTGTCAGTGGCAGATCGAGATGCTGTTTGGAGGTTTTGACAAGCTCCTTCCTATAGGTGAATTGGGGCTTAGACACTTAGGATTGTGGAGCAAAATCCTATCATCATTCACAGATAGCTAGTCTCCTTTTGAAAAACATATATTTTTTTTTGCCGGGCACAGTGGCTCATGCCTGTAATCCCAGCACTTTGGGAGACCAAGGTGGGCAGATCACCTGAGGTCAGGAGTTCGAGACCAGCCCGGCCAACATGGTGAAACCCTGTCTCCACTAAAAATAAAAAAATTAGCCGGGCATGGTGGCACCTGCCTGTAATCCCAGCTACTTGGGAGGCTGAGGCAGGAGAGTCGCTTGAACCCAGGAGACGGAGATTGCAGTGAGCCGAGATCATGCCACTGCACTCTAGCCTGTGCAAGAAGGGTGAGACTCCATCTCAAAAAAAAAAAAAAAGGAAAATATTATATTTTTTTCCATTATTGAGCCTTAGGAGAGACTGGATGCTTGGGCACAGGTCACCAAGGTACCATGAAATGTGAAGTGTGTGTTAGCCGATGCAAGCTGTATAATAAGATCATGTCCACTCAGGCCCTGAAAGTGTGAGCAATTTACACAAAGCAGGGGGCCAAATGCCCATGGTTCCTGTCCCTGCTACACAACCTTCTGCCTTCCAGCCTGCACCTATAATCTCATGGGGATTTCTCTATGCTCCGTTGACAGAGAAAGTGAAGACTCAAGCCTGGTTTGCAGATGGTTCTGCACGATATGCAGACGCCACCCAGAGGTTGAGAGCTTCAGCACTTCTGCCCCTTTATGGGACATCCCTAAAAGACAGTAAAGTCAGGGCGCAAGTGACCCCCTTCCTGAGGACAGAGCCTGCGGCTGGGCGCCTTGAGTGTCCTCTCACCTGTCACCACCAGCACCAGGGGGGTCACTGTGCCCTGACCGGCCTGTGGCACTTTGATAATAACAGTGACAGTTCTCTGCATTGTGCTCTGGCTTGTGTGAGATATGGGTCCTGGTCTTGTTCCCAGGCCCCAGTGGTTTCCTTAATGTTCTGTGACACTGAGCTTCCCTCTTTATCCAGCTGGTGCTCTTGGGGCTCCAGGGTACCCTGACACCAGGTGGTCACAGGCCTCCTCCCAGGGATCACACAGTCTGGCTCAGTCCAGGTGGTGGGTTTAGTGAGGAGCCTTGAAATGAAATCACAGGTTGGGTCCCAAGATACTAATGCATTCCTCAAATCCCAGCTGTCAGTCCCAAGACCCGCCCAGATGTCCCCATCAGTCAGCTCAGAGATGCTGTTCTCCATCCCCAGGTGGCTGGGGGTGGCCCGTTGTCCCCAGTGAGCAGGAGCGACCTGGGACTGCTGGGGACAGACTCACCTGCCTGCACATGGGTCCTGAAGCTCAGACTCAGCCCTGGAAGAGAGTTCCCTGTGAGAGATTTGCCCCTGAAGCCTGAGCAGGTCCTCCCCTGCCTGGGAGCATCCTGACCCCTGAGATTTCCTGATAGACCAGGGCTTGGCTCTGGAGTTAAGTCCCTTCAAGACTAGGGTGCCCCTTCTCCTCTTGAAATCTCACCAAGTCAGAGTAGGGTTGTGAGGGTGGGAGTCACGGCATCTCCTCCCACTGGCCCCAGCTGTACAGATGGATGAAACCATGGTGTCCAGGAGGACAGACAGACACACTCAAAGGCTGGGTTCTCCCTGTCATGGGGTTGTCCCATCAGCAGCCCCACAGGAAGGGGAACTGCAGAAGCCTGGCTCTCATTTCCCCAGGGCTGAGGTGGGAGTGAGCACCAGGTTTCCTGAAGACATTTCAGACAGAAATGGGCTCCCCCTGATCCTTGGCTACTGGCTGCAGGATCTTTCCTCATCTTATTGAGGGCTAGGATGTAGTAGAAAAATGGGCCCAGGGCCTCCCTGAGTGAGCCTCTTCCAGGTGAGGGTAACTGAGGGCTTCTCTTCCCCTCTCAGAGCCTCCACATGGGGTCTCCTTTACTCCTTCATCCTGTCTATCAGCACGGGGTTGTGGGGTCCTTACCATGGCCAGTCATCTCATCCGTCGTGGAGATGCTTCAGGGAAAATGCAGGTCCATGGTGCAGGGCAGACTCAGGTCAGCAGAGACGCATCTGACATCAGGCTGTGTAGTTCAAGTTGAGCTGCACTGTGGCAATGAGCGCAATGGAGAAACACAGGAAATATGGGTAGAGAACACGACCTGTATCCAACACTGCCAGTTTGCTCTATCAACCCGTGCCCTCCATGGACTTTCCCTTTCTCTTAGCAGCAGTATCCACCTTCGTCTCCTTGGAAACAGACTTGTGATCCACTCCTGAGTCTTCAGTGTCCTTTGTTTCCCTGAGGGGAACTCACCTGTTGGGATGGGGAGCTGATTTTTACTTAATGATTGCTCATTATCTGCTGCCCATGTGACCTTGAGCCTTCACAACCCCTTCTCTGAGCCTCAGTTTCCTTGTGTGGAGCAAGTTGTTACACACCCCACTCATCAGAGGGGTCGTGGGGGTCGGCGGTGACTGGGACTTCGAAGGAGCTCAATGATGGTTAATTCCCAGGACAGAGTAAGACATAGGGTTGTAAATTTGAGAAAATCAGGGTGTTGGACAATTGACGCTCCCACCCAAGAATCCTCATCTACCCTGAGCACTAAGAAATTGTACATATAATATTGCTTAAATACACAGATTATCACAGTCATGAGTAGAAATCCTTCCTTCCTTCCTTCCTTCCTTCCTTCCTTCCTTCCTCCCTCCCTCCCTCCCTTCTCTCCCTCCCTCCCTCACTCCCCCCCTTTCTTTCTTTCTTTCTTTCTTCTTTCCTTTTTTTTTTTTTTTGACAGAGTCTCACTCTGTTGCCCAGGCTGGAGTGCAGTGGCACAATCTTGGCTCACTGCAACCACCATCTCCTGGGTTCAAGTGATTCTCCTGCCTCAGCTTCCTGAGTAGCTGGGACTACAGGGGCATGCCACCGCACCTGGCTAATTTCTTTTGTATTTTAGTAGAGATGGGGTTTCTCCATGTTGCCCAGGTTGGTCTTGAACTCCTGAGCTCAGGCAATCCGCCCGCCTCGCCCTCCCAAAGTGCTAGGATTACAGGCGTGAGCAACCACGCCCAGTCGAAGGACTAGTTTTTAATTCCGGTTCTGGCTGTCTGGTTGGTTTTGGTTTTCCTCATGTATGTTTGCTGAGAGGATCTATGTAGTTGCCTGTGATGCCCGTTAATCCAAAATTGCCACCTCACTTTCATCAGTAGGTGGTATCTTAGGCCATCGTTATATAAGAGTAACTTTTTTTTCACTTTTTGGAAAATATTTTATTTGCCAAAATACATTTGAGAAAAATAATGTTGATTATACAAGCGGATAAAGCAATTGTCATATATATATACACACATACACACACACATATATACATCTATACATATACACATATATATACATATACACACATATATACGCATATATACATATATACACACACATATATACATATATATATGTATACACGCACACACACAAATATATATACACTGTGGAATACTACTCAGCCATAAGAGGGAACAAAATAATGGCATTCATAGTGACCTGGATGAAATTGGAGACTATTATTCTAAGTGAAGAAATTCAGGAATGAAAAACCAAATATTTTATGTTCTCATTCCTAAGTGGGAGCTAAGCTATGAGGATGCAAAGGCATAAGAATGCTACAATGGACTTTGGGGACTCGGGGGAAAGGGAGGGAGGAGGTGAGGGATAAAAGACTATAAATCGGGTTTAATGTATACTACTAGGGTGATGGGTGCACAAAAATCTCAGAAATCATCACTAAAGAACTTCTGCAAGTAACCAAACACCACGTTCCCCAAAAACCTATGGAAATAAGAAAGAAAATAAAAGAAAAATGATGTTGGTTATAAGTTGTGCAAACCTGTGTCTTAACTTGTTCATTCCACCAGCATAAAATGCAGCAACACATGTGCAGTGTTGGCCCCAGGCAAATCTGCTTGAGACTCAATGTTCAAGATTGTTATTAGGTGGGGACCACATAGGCATAATGAGCAGCTACAGAGAAACCAGAGGAAACCGGGTGTTCGCCATGAATTACACTGTTTACAGAAACAGCCTAGTGAAGACATAACAGCAGAATTCAGTGCCGCAGGCACACAACCTCACGTTGTCTCTTAGTAACACAGGGGACATGCTAGAAGCAAGTTCCTAGATGCCAACCAAGAATCAAGCTCACAAACAAGTCCTTCTAAAGTTAGCATCCTCATCACTGTTAGGTTAACTTCTTCTTGCATATCCTTCACCTAAAAGAAATAGTAGTCATCTTCAATCCTTCAGCACAGCGTTCACACAGCACGTGCCTCCAGCTCTCCCAGATTCTTCTAGGGCCAGCACAGCTTTTCTGATGCAGATTTTTCAAAGTTCTCCAAACTGAAGAGTCAATCCAAAATCATCTTGACTTTCCATGTTGGCGGCCTTTGGGGGCCTTCTCTGGCTGTGCTGAGCCTGAAAGATCATCCCCTAGAGACCGCCAGGATCAAGCCAGCATGGTCATTGGAATGAGATTCTCCATTGCATAGTCTGAAGGGGCATGGTCAGTAGACAGAACAGGGCATTCACTGGGGGCTAGACAGGCTGCACCCACATTGGGAGCCTGGATGGGTGTTTACACATTCACACTCCTGAAAGAGAAGTCGTAGTTACTCCTGACTTTGAAACTATACTTGGTGGATGCTGGTTGAGAGGATCAAGGACTCCTACGAATAAGAGCATGGGAGGATTAGAGCAGCTGGGGCCATTCTACTCCTGCTCCCCTGTCTTGGCTCCTTCATAACAACTCTCTTCCCTCTTTTTTTTTTTTTTTTTTTTGAGATGGAGTCTTGCTCCATTGCCCAGGCTGGAGTGCAGTGGTGCAATCTCAGCTCACTGCAACATCTGCCTCCCAGGTTCAAGCAATTCTTCTGTCTCAGCCTCCAGAGTAGTTGGGACTACAGGGGCCTGCCACCATGCCTGGCTAATTTTTGTATTTTTAGTAGAGACAGTGTTTCACCTTGTTGGTCAAGCTGGTCTCGAACTCCTGACCTCAGATGATCCACCTGCCTTGGACTCCCAAAGTGCTGGGGCCACCGCGCCTGGACCTCTCTTCCCTTCTCATGGGAGAATTGTGTAACCATCCTTGCTAACCTCAACTCCCACCTCAGATGGAGCACTGTATGATTTCCTTCCTCAAATTTGTTCAAGTTCTTGGGCCTCATTGAGGTCACCACCAACCTCTCGGTTTGGGGGATATTAAGAGTTTAGTTTTGCAACCACAACTCAGTGACAGAAAAAAGGAATTCAAAGATACAGGAATACTTAACTGTGCTCCTTTCTCATCTTCAATTTGTTCCCATATTAGGTAAACCCGTGCTTAACCCCTTAAGGTAAATACCTCTAGTAACTCTTCATCTGTCAATACAGAATTCAGAGATGCGTATGTGGGACTCTAGATTGTACCAGAGTCCAGGGTACAACAGAGCTAAAGGCTGTCACTGCCTTTTCTATTGTTCTGCCTCATCTAATTATCTCTGTGGTCCAGTGTAGCTTAATACTACTACTATTAAAAGTAATAATCACTGCCTCACTTTTAATGATTGGGTCCACTCATCTGTCCTGTTTTGCGATGAATGAGAGAATGATTTTAGAATCCAAGCCTTTTTTTTTTTTTTGAGACAGAGTTTTGCTCTTGTTGTCCAGGCTGGAGTGCAATGGTGCAATCTCGGCTCACCGCAACCTCTGCCTCCGATTCAAGCGATTCTCCTCCCTCAGCCTCCTGAGTAGCTGGGATTACAGGCATGCACAACTACACCTGGCTAATACTGTATTTTTAGTAGAGACAGTGTTTCTCTATGTTGGTCAGGCTGGTCTCGAACTCTTGACCTCAGGTGATCCACCCACCTCGGCCTCCCAAAGTGCTAGGATTACAGGTGTGAGCCACCATGCCGGGCCGCATCCAAGCCTCTTTTCCAGGAGCAAGAAATACTACAGTGAAAAAAATCTCCCATTGTTAATTCAATGTAGAAACTCATGAGAAAAAAGCAAAAAATTTTAAGGAGATAAATTAGAAAACAACATGTGCAGATGGATACATGGACAAAAAAATTAAGCTACCTAGAGATCTCGAATGTGTGTCAACCTAATACAAGGACTATTAGAGAATACAGGTGGGCAAGAATCACTTAACCCACTTTGTCATGGAAAATGTCTTTGAGGATGTGACAGGTTTGGAAAAATGAAAAAATGACAAAGTGGTCATTATATGAAGATCCAGAAAAATAATATTATTCAATATAGGATCAGCTGATTGAAGTATTCAACAAATATGCAGAAAGTTTCCTAGTGTGGACAAGACTTATTTGATTATGAGGAAATTTAATAAGTGCTGTGAAGTAACATAGATCTGTATTCACAGATGTGCAATAAATTAAGTAAAAATCAATAAAGACATAAAATGAGAAAAAAACCTATCTACAATAAAACCATCAATCTCAAATCATTGGATGGAGAGAAATATACATATACAGAATACTCTCTGAGAATAACTAGAATAAGGAGATATGTGGCCGGGTGCAGTGGCTCACACCTGTAATCCCAGCACTTTGGGAGGTCGAGGTGGGTGGATCACTTGAGGTCAGGAGTTCAAGACCAGCCTGACCAACATGGTGAAACCCCGTCTCTACTAAAAATACAAAATTAGCCGGAAATGGTGGTGCATGCCTGTAATCCCAGCTACTCAAGAGGCTGAGGCAGGAGAATCGCTTGAGCCTGGGAGGCGGAGGTTGCAGTGAGCAGAGATCACGCCACTGTACAGGAAGTTTCAAACCCAGGAGAGGTTATCTTTCAAGTACTCAGTGTTGTGGTTTCTCCTGCCAGGGTGACAACCTGATGATTATGGAAATCTAATCAGAAAACTGCTATCTTGCTTTTATTCCTACCTCCACAGGATGAAAACAGTTAATGGTAGAGACAAAATATGTCCAGAGTAGACAGGAGTCACAGAAAAAGTGAATTCTGATACGTTCTTTCCCAGGAAGTTACTGGTACAGAAGTTTAGAACTGAGATACCTTTTGGAAACAAGGATGGCATTCTGCCTTTGATGGATGGAAGAGTACTATCCCAGATTTAGATAGAGTTTGCTAAAGGCGTCTATCTTAGAGTGGCTGAGCCATCTCCACTTCAAGCTATGACTTTCTGTGAATTACCCACCCACTTGTCCTTCACAATAAGAGCTTACCCACCCACTTGTCCTACAGAATAAGAGGGACCTTTTAGTCTGCTCTTCTGATTGCGGACCTGATTCCACAGGTGCCTGGGGCATCTTTGCAATCCCTAGGAATCAGCACCATGGACAGGGGCAAGGAATAGGGTCCACTCCTCTCTCCACTTCAGCTGGACCTCTTGTTCGTTTTCTTTCTTTCTTTCTTTCTTTCTTTCTTTCTTTCTTTCTCTTCCTTCCTTCCAACTTTTATTTCAGACACAGGGAGTACAAGTACAAATTTCTTACATGGGAATATTGCTTGATGCTGAGGTTTGGAGTACGGATCACATCCCCCAACTAGTGAGCATAATACCCAATAAGTAGTTTTTAACCCTCTTCCACCCTCTAGTAATCCACAGTGTCTATTTTTCCTATCCTTATGCTCATCTTTTTCTTTACACATTTCACCTCATACTGACCACCCAGCAGGAACAAAATACCTCAATGCTGCTTGGAAAATAAGGCTCCCTCCCTTCATCTCTACCTTTCTTCCCAGGCTCTCTGGAAACAACCTCTTCTGTAAAGACTTCAAGGGCAGAAGAATAAGCTGAGAAACTCAGCCCAGAGCTGCCGGAGACTGTGACTCCTGTAGTCTGTGAGGACCTTGTTGCTCAGCCAACATGAAGTGAGTCCATGAGGGTGAGGAGCTGCAGATCCCACAGACTGTTTGGGGCAGGGACAGAAGGAGTAGGTGGGGTTGTGGTGCCTCTTGCTCTGTTCCTCAGCTTCATCTCTTTTGCTCAAAGGTTGGCCCCCTACCTTTTCAAATCTTCTCATTCCACTCACCCAGCACCTTCTGTGACCCCCGAGTAGGGTAAGGCATGGAGAGTGAGAATGACCCCCACTTTCATGAATTTCTTCATCCCTTTCTGAGATGGGATTGCCCTATGACTGGTCCCTGCTGTTTTTCCTTCCTTCTATCCCAGGCCGGGGCTCTCCTAGCACAGGGATGCATGCTAAGGTTTAGAATCTTAACGGATGTGGTGCTTGGAGCTCCTGTACTGAGACCAAAATCTTTAGGGGTCACTGGGGTGTGACAATAGGGGTAAGGAGGAACTATGTGGACCACAGCACTAGTAGGTCCCCCTGTGGGCTGAAGTCAGAGGGCTTGGAGTAAACTTGGCCTGAGAGAGTAAGGCCATGTCTTTCAATCGATGGTTTTGGGGAGGCACAAGTGACCGGTCCTTGGACAGACAGAAGGTACCCAACCAGATCTCTGAGTAGCACTGCAAGGTCAAGTTCTCTCCCGAGGACACTAAGGGCCCTGGCTCAGACAAATGGAGGGTTTCTTGTACATTTCTAGGAAATATGAAGGTTGCAGTGTGTACAAAGCAGCCCCTTCCCACATGTCCTGGACCCCGAACTGAGGGACTGGCCTCCTCTCTCTCAGCTCCTGTTAGACTCTTGGTGTGGGTCTTTGTAATCTCCAGGCCTCTCACTCTCCTTTTCTAAGTTGCTCTCCTTGGACCACTGCCTCATCGCATCCTCTACTCTAGGACCCTCTCCCTGGACCCTCAACCCAGGGATGACCCTGGTCCCAGGACCCTGAGCATATAATCAAGACAGGGGGCTAGGCCAGGCGCAGTGGCTCACCCCTGTAATCCCAGCACTTTGGGAGGCCGAGGTGGGCAGATCACGAGGTCAGGAGATCGAGACTATCCTGGCCAACATGGTGAAACCCAGTCACTACAGGCCAGGTGCGGTGGCTCACACCTTTAATCCCAGCACTTTGGGAGGCTGTGGCGGGCAGATCACGAGGTCAGGAGATCGAGACTATCCTGGCCAACATGGTGAAACCCTGTCACTACTAAAAATACAAAAATTAGCTTGGCATGGTGGCATGCGCCTGTAGTCCCAGCTACTTGGGAGGCTGAGGAAGAAGAATTGCTTGAACTCGGGAGGTGGAGGTTGCAGTGAGCCGACATAGTGCCACTACACTCCAGCCTGGGTGACAAAGCGAGACTCCGTCTCAAAAAAAAAAAAAGAGCGAATGGGGCTTGAAGGCTACAGACAGGAGGTTAGGACGCCATTTTGGATTTATCTTTTCCTGGAGGGCATCTGATCTTCTCCCATGGATTTAGTTACTGGTTCAGGTGTGGAACTCTGAACTGAAGAGATGGAGGCTCAGTAAAGCACACAGGGAGTGTGATAATGAGAATTGAAGTGGACTGTGTGACACGCCAAGGACCAGAGCATGCAGGTGTGCAGAGATGTGGACCCAACGCTGCCTGCCATGTGGGATGTAGCCTCATGTCTCGGGCTGGGAAGAGAAGGGAATCCAACCAAGGGAAGTCAACATTAATAGAAAGGAAAGGTGTCACATTTTAATGGTCCTCCATGGATCACCCCAGACCAGTGTCTCTGCACTCAAACACCCATTCCTCCCTCTAGAAATTGCCAGAGGCTGAGGCAGGAGAATCACTTGAACCCGAGAGGCGGAGGTTGCAGTGAGCCCAGATTGCGCCACTGCATTCCAGCCTGGTGACAGAGCAAGACTCCATCTCAAAAAAAAAAAAAAAAAAAAAAAAGAAAGAAAAGAAAAGAAAGAAAAAAAGAAATTGCCAGCAGACAGTCCAGATGGCATAGGCCTCAGATGGTCTTCCCGAACCTCCTAGGACCATCAGATTCGCTTCCAAGGCTCCAGCATTCAATGGTGCATTGTTCTCTCTTCTGTTCACCTTCCAGCTGCAGCTTGGGGGCTTCTCTGGCTGTGCCAATCCTGAAATATCAGAATCCCAAGGACCACCAGGATCAAGCCGGCCATGCCCATGCGGATGAGATTCTCTACTGCGTAATCCTGAAGGTGTGAGGCTGGGGATGGTGGACAAAGAGGTCACAGAGGTCAGGGCAGATCAGTATCACCCAGGACCCCTGGATGTCTCCCCAGGGCACCCATATCATCTTGACAGGACCTGACCCTCTGTGCCAGTTCCATAACTGAGAGCATCTCCTCACTCACCAGTCCCAGAGTCAGACTTGTTTTGTGACGGACTGAGGTTATCAGCTGCTCCTGAAAATCAAAACAGGGGAAGGGGAAGGAGAAGTTCTTGAAGCAATCTGAGCCCAGCCTCTCCCCTGAGCTCTGCATTCTCCTAGTTCCCTGTGCCTCTCAACATGACTTTTATGGAGTTCCTCCATAAACCCTCCCTCTGCTGGAGCAGGGTTCCCTCCAGTCTCCTCACTGAATTATTTCAGCTTTCCTTTGTTCTTTGAATTTAAACTTTGCTCCTGAGTCATTTGGGAAAGAGCTTTCCTGCACCGTGAAAGCTCAGGATCTGCAAGGAAAGTGGCCCCCAGAAGTCACTGAGCCCTTTGTGCTCTCTGTGCAGCCTGGGACACAGGAGCACATAAGCCAATTCCCCCAGAGATGAGAGTTTCACGGATCCACCAGCTGAGGACCCAGGCTCCATGGATGACGGGTTGGTCCTCAGGGGCTCCTGAAAGTCAGAATCACAAACAGCTGCCTCCCCTTGACGCCACCTCAACCACCTCACCTGGTGTTTCATCATACAATAAGTCTCTAGTCAGCTAACTATTCATATAGTCAGTCATATATATATACGTATGTATATAAATGTGTGTGTGTGTGTGTGTGTGTATATATATGTATATATAAATATATATATATATATATATATGGTGTTACAGAGGCTCATAAAACAATTTCTGCTTTTAGGGCCAGGCGTGGTGGCTCATGCCTGTAATCCCAGCACTTTGGGAGGCCAAGGCGGGCAGATCACGAGGTTAGGAGTTCGAGACCAGCCTGGCCAACATGGTGAAACCCCGTCTCTACTAAAAATAAAAAAATGAGCCGGGCATGGTGGCACCTGCCTGTAATCCCAGCTACTTGGGAGGCTGAGACAGGAGAATCACTTGAACCTGGGAGGCAGAGGTTGCAGTGAGCCCAGGTCATGCCATTGCACTCCAGCTTGGGCAACAGGGCAAGAGACTCCATCTCAAACAAACAAACAAAAATTTCTGCTTTTATAAAGTGTGAGTCTAGGTGAGAAGACCAATAACAAACATGTAAAAGCCCTCCATGTCAAATACATTAAGCATGTAGATATACGTATAAAAAATATATGCAGATATACCTACACTTATATTCAGATGTAACTTATATAACCATACATAAATATGTATATATGTAAAACTTTAGATATTTATTTAAGATGCAGTTACATGCATATTAATACTTGAAGTGACAAAAATTGATATGCGGTTTAGAAATAAAAAATAAAATTTCAATTTTCTTATAGTTAATATAAATTTTATCAGTAAATTTGGGGAGATCAGTTGAAAGATAATTGAAAGGGAAAAATGTTATAGCAAGCTAAAATGAAATTAAATGAATATACTCAAACTAAAAGCTTTCTCATGTGTATATCTTACTTAGAAATATAAATGAATCAGGCTGGGCATGGTGGCTCACGCCTGTAATCCCAGCACTTTGGGAGGCCTAGGTGGGTGGATCACGAGGTCAGGAGATCGAGACCATCCTGGCTAACACAGTGAAACCCCATCTCTACTAAAAATACAAAAAAATTAGCCCGGCATGGTGGTGGGTGCCTGTAGTCCCAGCTACTCGGGAGGCTGAGGCAGGACAATGGCGTGAACCCAGGAGGCGGAGCTTGCAGTGAGCCGAGATCGCGCCACTGCACTCCAGGCTGGGCGACAGAGCAAGACTCCATCTCAAAAACAAAAACAAACAAACAAACAAAAGAAATATACATGAATCAAATACTTCACTTAAGAATAAAGTAGTTGAAGAATTTTTTAAATTAGACTAAATGTACACATTCTTATGAACGGAACTTGAAAACACTTATTAACTTCATTAATAAACTTCAATTTTATATATTAATAATAGAAATACTTGCTATTAACAACTAATTTTATACAGCAAATGTAAATATTGAATTATGCCCCCAGGACAATGGGAGTGGAATTACTTGTTTTTAAATCATAAATCCATATATCTTAAAGAGACAAATTTAAATATTCAAATATTGTTTTAAAAGATTCAGAAGAAGAGAGAAAAAATAAACAAGTATGCCCAGAAAATGCAGAGCAGCAATGAACAGCAGACAAGACGTGCTGTGAATAAGTTCCTAACTTCCTCCAGGGAGCAGGTGCGCGGCCCCTCCTTTGTCTCAGGGGTGCCCTGAGCACAGAGGCCTCCAGGTGAGCACAGGAGGGGCGGTGTGAGTGGTACCCACAGCTGGGGCGCTTCTCTCTAAAGGAGCAGGTCTGGCGTGGACTCCAGCCTCATCACCGTCAGATCCCACCGAGGCCTGAGCAGCCTCCTCCCCTGTCCTGAGTGGGCTCAGGGACCCCGCAGGTGTGGGTGAGGGGCTCCATCCTCAGGGGCTCTTGGAAATGAGAAGTGAGAGCTGCCAAGGGAGCGTCCGTCTGTCCTCTCTCCAACTCGCCTGCCTCTCTTCCTCCTCCATCAGCCCCAGCATCTTCCCCATGTTCCAAGTCAGGCCTGGACCCCAAATCCTGCTGACCAGGTCTGTTCTCCTTCCTCTACTCATCACTCATCCCGCAGGATAGGGTAGGGGCCTGGGAGTCTTGTAAAGCTGCATGGTTTTTAGTAGAAAATCTGAAACGCTTCGTGTGACATGTGAGAGAGAGGAGATTCTAAACAGTGGGGTTTTTACACATCTTTGCTTTCTCATAATATTGTGGCTTCGTCTCACGAACCTCAGACCCCAGCACTGATGGATATGATTACATGTACCTGCAGCTGCCCCTCTTGGCTTTCTAACCCTTGCGAGGCATAGCTATTGGCAAGAGCAGACCAGGTCTTAGGGTGAGTGATGGGAGCTGCTTTTCTAGGTCTAGGATGAGCCACATCTCAGATGCCCCACAAGGTCAGAAATGAGGGGGCTTTGGGGGTCACTTCCAAGCTCAGGGGGAAGTCAGCCTGGGAGAGCCCAGCCTGGGGCTGCCGGCCAGTGGAGGAGGTCACGTCTGTCCTCCTTGTAGAGAGCAAACCTGTCATAGCCAACATCAGAGTGATACTGGAGGGTCAGGTTCTCTCCAGGGACCACAACAGGGCCCTGCGGGGTCAGGAGGGAGGGCTTTCTAGACACACCTGGAAGGATAAAGGAGCCGGGACTGCAGGGGCTGGTTCCTCCTATAAACCTCCTTCTGGAGTCTCCCTTGCTCTGTTTTTCTTTTTCTTTTTTTTTTTTTTTGAGACAGAGTCTCGCTCTGTCACCCAGGCTGGAGTGCAATGACACAGTCTCGGCTCACTGCAACCTCCGCCTCCCGGGTTCGAGCGATTCTCCTGCCTCAGCCTCCCAAGTAGCTGGGATTACAGGTGTGTGCCGCCACGCCCAGCTAATTTTTGTATTTTTAGTAGAAATGGGGTTTCACCATGTTGGCCAGGCTGGTCTTGAACTCCTGACATCAGGTGATCCACCTGCCTCGGCCTCCCAAAGTGCTGAGATTACACGTGTGAGCCACTGTGCCCAGCCCTTGCTTTGTTTTCCTCACCCTGAATTTGTGTCCCTAGGATTTCTGTGTTCTCCTTCCCCTTTTTGTCTTTCTTAGCAGGGGCTGCCCTGCCTGTAAAGCTCTCCACAACCTGTCTGGCTTCCCTGAATTGTACTAGAGAAGACTGTGGCTTCCTCACCTGAGACCGGAATCTCCAGGAGGTCACTGGGTTCTGACCATACCTGCAGGATATGCCTGCGAGAGCCATAGCATCTGAGCATCCACCTGTGGCTGGGGGTCACAGGGCCCACAGGGAACAGGGCCTGGAACTGCCCACTGGGGGTCAGCTGTGAGTCCAAGGTCCAGGAGAGCTTGTGGTCTCCTTCCTCAGTCAGAATGAACCTGTCGAATCTCAGCCGTGAGCCACACTGGAGGGTCACGTTCTCTCCTGAGGTCACCACAGGACTGGGCAGGGCTGAGAGGGTGGGTTTGTTGTAGAATCCTAGGAGAGAAGGAGGCACCGTGTTAAATGGGGCTCCCACCTCCCACATCATCCCCAGGGCTGGGCTGTGAAAGGGAGACACCCCTGAGAGCCGACCCCCTTCCTGAGGGCAGAGCCTGGAGCTGGGACCCCAGAGTGTCCTCTCACCTGTCACCACCAGCTCCAGGGGGTCGCTGGGCTCTGACCAGCCTGCAGGGCTGTAGTAGTAACAGCGGTATCTCCCTGCATGGTGCTCTGTCATGGATGGGATGGAGAATCTGGCCTTGTTCTTGGGCTCCAGTGGGTTCTGTGTGTCCCAGGGTTCTGGGCTTCCCTCTTTAACCAGACGGTATTCCTGGGCCTCCAGGGTCCCCTGACACCGGATGGTCACAGAGTTCCCCCGGCTGATCACAGAGCCTGGCTCAGCCCAGAGGGTGGCTTTGGAGAGGTTCCCTGGAAGGAAATCAGAGTCTGGGCTCCAAGACCTCCCCACCCCTCAGATCCCAGCTCTCAGCCCCAGGACCCTCCAGACGTCCCCATCAATCACCCAGAACTGCGGTCTTCACCCCCAGCTGCCCATGGGTGGCCCTTTGTCCCCATTGAGGAGGAGGGACCTGGGACAGCTGGGGACAGACTCACCTGCCTGCACGTGGGTCCTGGGGCCCAGACTCAGCCCTGGAAGAGAGTTCCCTGTGAGAGATTTGCCTCTGAAGCCTGAGCAGGTCCTCCCCTGCCTGGGAACCTCCTAAAACCCTGGAGTTTCCTGATAGACAAGGGCCTCGTTATGGGGTGGGGTCCCTCCCAGACTAGGGTGCCCCTTCCCTGAGGCTTCCAATCTCACCGAGGCAGAGCAGAACCATGAGGGCAGGGCTCACGGCGTCTCCTCCCACTGGCTGCAGCTGTGCAGATGGATGAGACCATGGTGCCTGGCAGGACAGAGAGACACACAGGGTGTGGCAGCTCGGAGGCTGGGTCCTTCTTGTCATAGGATTTTCTCATTCTCAGCCCACAGAAAGGGGAACTGCTCTCCCCAGGAGCCTGGCTCTCATTTCCCCAGGGCTGAAGTGAAGTAGTTGAGACTACAGGCACCAGGCTCTCTGCAGACATTTCAGACAGAAGTGGGGTCTCCCTTCCCCGGGCCACTGTCTGCCTGATTTATCTTTATCTCACTGAGAGCCGGGACACAGCAGCAAATAGACCCGGTGCCTTCCTGAGTCAGCCCCTTTCAGGCGAGGGTGACCTCCTCCCTCTCAGAGCCTCCCCATGGGGTCTCCCTCCCTCCTTCAGCCCGTCCATGAGCTCAGCGTTGCGGGGTCCTTACCATGGTCAGTGATTTTTCAGCCCTGGAGATGCTTCAGGGAAGATGCAGGTCCATGCCACAGGCAGACTCAGATCAGCAGAGACACATCTGACACCTGGCTGTGTAGCCCAGGCTGAGCTGCATGTGGCAATGAGCACAGAGGAGAAATGCAGGGAAATAGGGGAGGAAATCATGACCCTTTAGTGGCCCTGGAGTGTTTTCTTTCTAACCAATAGTACTCTCTTTCTTGTACTTCCCTTAATTTTTTTTTTTTTTTTTTTTTTTGCAACAGCGTCCACCTCCACCCCACCTCCAGTAACAAACCTCTGAATCTTTTCTGCCTCCACTGTGCCTTCTGTTTCTTTGGGCTTCCCTCTATACCTCAATCCATGTTCAACATTTTCGGAGTAATTACTTAGGCTTTGTTTTAAAATTTTCATTCTTATGTATCTATTTATTTTTTAATTTTTGTGGGTACATTACTTAGGTTTGGGCTCTGGTTTGCTGAGTGGGGAGTTGATTTCTTTCTTTCTTTCTTTCTTTCCTTTTTTTTTTTTTTGAGACCGAGTCTCGCTCTGTCGCCCAGGCTGGAGTGCAATGGCGCTATCTCGGCTCACTGCAAGCTCCACCTCCCGGGTTCATACCATTCTCCTGCCTCAGCCTCCCGAGTAGCTGGGACTACAGGCGTCCGCCACCACGCCCGGCTAATTTTTTTGTATTTTTATTAGAGACAGGGTTTCACCATGTTAGCCAGGATGGTCTCGATCTCCTGACCTCATGATCCGCCTACCTCGGCCTCCCAAAGTGCTGGGATTACAGGCGTGAGCCACTGCGCCCGGCTGGTGGGGAGTTGATTTCTATGTAATTCCCGATTATTATCTACGGCTTGTGTGATCTTGGGCAGTACTGTCTCATCTCTGAGCCTCAGTTTCCCTGTGTGGAGCCTGTTGTCATGAACCTCACTCATCACAGCGGATGTGGGGGTCAGCCGTGCTTGGGTCATGGGAGAGGCTCAATCACGGTTAATGTCTAGACTAGATTAAGACATGAGGGGTTGGGACATGAGAGGATTCTGGTTTCAGTCTCTATGATTATGTCACAGAGGTGCAGAAAAAGCATTTGATAAAATCCTGCATCCCTTCATGATAAAAATTCCCAACAAACAAGGTACAGAGGGACATACCTCAAAATACTAAAGGCGATAGGTGACGAAATCCCAGCCAATATCGCAAACAGGGAAAAATAGAAAGCATTCCCCCTAAGAACTGGAGCATGACAAAGATGTGCACTGTCACCACTCTTCAACGTAGTACTGGAGGTCCTTGCCAGAGCAATCAGGCAAGACAAAGAAATAAAACACATCTAAATTGGAAAAAAAAAAAGTGAAATTATTTCTGTTCGCTGATGATATTATCTTATACCTCAAAAACCCTAAAGACTCAGCCAAAACACTCTTAGATTTGATAAAGAAATGCAGTAAAGTTTCAGGATATAGAATCAAAGTACAGAAATCAGTAGCATTTCTGTACTCCAATAATGACGAAGCTGAGAACCAAGTCAAGGAGGCAATCCCATGGACAGTGGGTGCACAAAAATAAAACACCTGGGAATATATTTAACCAAGGAGGTGAAAGATTTCTACAAGGAAAACTTCAAACCAGTGATGAAAGAAATTGTAGAAGACACAAACAGATGGAAAAACATCCCATTCTCATAAATCAGAATAATTACTATGATTAAAATGACCACATTGCCCAAAGCAATCTACAGATTTAATGCAGTCCTTACAAAAATACCTTCATTTTTCACAGACTTAGAAAAAGAAACCTTAAAAGTTATATTGAGCCAAAAAAAGAGCCCAAACAGCCATAGCAATCCTAAGCAAAAAGAGCAAAGCTAGAGACATCACATTAACTGACTCAAAGTTTACAAGGCTATAGTAACCAAAAGAGCATGACACTGGTATAAAAATAGACATATAGGCCAGTTGCAGTGGCTCACGCCTCTAATCCCAGCACTTTGGGAGGCTGAGGCAGGTGGATTACGAGGTCAGGAGTTCAAGACCAGCTTGGCCAACATGGTGAAACCCCGTCTCTGCTAAAAATACAAAAGAATTAGCCAGGTGTGGTGATGGGTGATCTCAAATTAACAACCTAACATCACAACTAAAAGAACTAGAGAATAATCCGCCCGGCGCGGTGGCTCACGCCTGTAATTCCAGCACTTTGGGAGGCTGAGGCGGGTGGATCACAAGGTCAGGAGATCGAGACCATCCTGGCTAACATGGTGAAACCCTGTCTCTACTGAAAACACAAAAAATTAGCCAGGCGTGGTGGCGGGCACCTGTAGTCCCAGCTACTCGGGAGGCTGAGGCAGGAGAATGGCGTGAACCCGGGAGGTGGAGCTTGCAGTGAGCCGAGATCACGCCACTGCACTCCAGCCTGGGAGACAGCAATTGGAATGCAATTTAGAAATAAAGTGAAATTTCAACTTTTGTGTGAGTTATGTACATTTTATTAGTAAATTAGAGGGGATCAATTGAAAATAATTGGAATTAAGAAATTCTGTAGTAAGTTGGTATAAAATAAAGTAAATGAACTCAAACCAATTACTGTATCATGTATACCTAGCTTTTATTTATAAGGAATCAAAGACCTCATTTACAGATTATTCAAGTGATTGAATAATTGTTTAAATTGAAATAAATATATAAAATTCTTATAAATAAAATTTCAAGACACTTCTTAAGTTCATCAATAAACCTCAATTTTAAAAGTTTAGGATAGGAAAACTTAACATAAATAAGAAACTATTTTCTAAAGCAAATATATAAATGAAATCATGTCCCAAATTAAAATGATAAGTTTATATATTCATGTATTGCTTTAAATGTTTCAGAAGAACAGAGAGTAACAATAGACAAGTGTGCACAGAAAAGGCAGGGTAGAAATGAATGACACACAAGCCGCGCTGTGAATAACTCCCTAACTCATCCAGGGAGCAGGTGCGTGGCCCCTCCTTACTCTCAGGGGTTCCCTGAGCACAGAGGCCTTCAGGTGAGCACAGGAGGGGCGGTGTGAGGTGCACCCACAAGTGGGGTGCTTCTCTCTAAAGGAGCAGGTCTGGGGCGGACCCCAGCCTCATCCCAGTCAGATCCCACCGAGGCCCGAGCAGCCTCCTGTCCTGTCATAAGAGGACCCAGGGACCCCGCATGTGTGGGTGAGGGGCTTCATCCTCAGGGGCTCTTGGAAATGAGAAATAAGAGCTCCCAAGGGAGCGTCCATCTGTCCTCTCTCCAACTTGCTTGCCTCTCTTCCTCCTCCATCAGCCCCAGCGTCTTCCCCATGTCTGAGTCTGGCTGGACCCCAAATCCTCCTGATCCAGCCTGCTCTCCTTCCTCTGCTCATCACATATCCTGCAGGACAGGGTAGGGGCCTGGGAGTCATGCACAGCTGTGCTGGGTGTTGCTTTTAGTAGAAAATCTGAAACAGTGTGTGATGTGTGAGAGAGGGGAGATTCTAAACAGTGGGGTTTTTACAAATCTTTGCTTTCTCCTAATACTGTGGCTTCATCTCACGAATCTCAGACCCCAACATTGATGGATACAATTACAATTACATGTACCTGCAGCTGCCTCTCCTGGCTTTCTAACCCTTGCAACACACAGTTATTGGTAGGAGCTGACCAGGCCAAGGGAGGGCTGGGGGACGGCAGCAGGTCTAGGATGAGCCGCAACCCAGATGCCCCAGAAGGTCAGAAATGAAAGGGCTTTGGGGGTCACTTCCAGGCAGCTCCTTCTTATTCGGATGGGAAAGGCCAGGGCGGAAGGGGAAAAGGCTTTCTCAGAAGTTCTGAGGTAGGATGTGGGACTTTGGAGGCGGGGACTCAGACACCACACCAGATTGAGAACTAGCTAAAACAGGGCAGAGGGTGGAAGCAGCTCTTCTTAAGACACGCCCACCAGTGTGGCATCCCGGTTTACCGTTGCCATGGCAACCCCCGGAAGGTACCGCCCTTTTCCACGGCAAAGACCCACTGACCGGAAGTTACCGCCCTTTTTCTAGGAATTTCTGCATACCTGACCTTTAATTTGCATATAATTAAAAGCAGGTACAAGAGTGGCTGCAGGTGTGTTTCTGAGCTGCTATTCTGGGCACACCGCCTGTGGGGCAGCCCTGCCACCCTAGGAGCAGTACCTCTGCTGCTGCTGTGCTCGGCCACTTGACTAGAGGTTGCCGTAACCCTTAAGGGGTTGTGTAACACCAGCTCACCCTTAAATTCCTTTTTTTTTTGTTTTTGAGATAGAGTTTTACTCTGTCACCCAGGTTGAAGTGCAATGGCGCCATCTCGGCTCGCTGCAATCTCTGCCTCCGGAGTTCAAGCGATTCTCCTGCCTCGGTTCCGAAGTAGCTGGAATTACAGGCACCAGCCACCACACCCTGCTAATTTTTGTAGTCTTTAGTAGAGACGGGGTTTCACCGTGTTGGCCAGGTTGGTCTCAGACTCCTGACCTCAAATGATCTGCCCGCCTCAGCCTTCCAAGGTGCTGGGATGACAGGTGTGGACCACCGCGACCGGCCTAAATTCTTTCTTAGGCAAAGCCAAGAACTCTTCTGGGCTATGCCCCGATTTGGGAGCTCCCCTTCCCCGCATCATCTAGTTACCAGGAAGGGATGACGGAGACAGCGAGTGAGAGGCAGAGAGACTTTCCGCAGAGGCAGGGACAATTAGGAGAGAGGCGAGATGGCTAGACAGCAGAGATGGTGACAGTGATCAGCGGAGGGGTGGCAATGGGTGAAAGACACGGAGAGGTGGCACTGGGCTAGACAGCGAGAGGTTGCTGAGACAGTCGGAGAGACAGCGGGGCGGGGCAGTCTGTGATCAGGGCTCCAAGAGCGGTCACACAGGCTGTAACAGTAAACAGCTGCTAATACTGCAGAGCTGTCACACTAACCAAAGGCTTTGCTTTTGGCGCCTTCATCTTTCCTTGGATAGTGGTGGAGCTCAGCGATGGGCAAGCAGGTGAGACCCCCGCTCCAACCGACAGGCCCATGGGTTACCAGTCCCCGCACCGGACCCCTGGGTGACAGCTGAGCCCACCCAAGCTGGGGGATCCTGCAGAGACCTTCACCTGGGCCCCATGTGGAAGATTTTTGATGTTATTTAGGCTTTTGGGGATGGGGGAGTGTCCCCTCTGCCTCCCCCGTAATATCTGGTGAGCCGTATGGGTAATGCGAGCACTAGACACCTAAACCCCACCAGAACGCAATGCATCCATGTAAGGAACCTGCGCGTGTAGCGCCTGAATCTAAAAAAATAGAGTAACATTAAAAACAACAACAACAATAAAGCCGTGTGAGGTGGCTCACGCCTGTAATCTCAGAACTTTGGGAGGCCGAAGCGGGTGGATCACCTGAGGTCAGGAGTTTGAGACCAGCCTGGCCAACATGGTGAAACACCGTCTCTACTGAAAATACAAAAACTTAGCTGGGCATGGTGGTGGGTGCCTGTAATCCCAGCTACTCATGAATTATCATGAAGAGAAAATGGGCCAGGTGCGGTGACTCACGCCTGTAATCCTAGCACTTTGTGAGGCCAAGGCGGACAGATCACCTGCGGTCAGGAGTTCGAGACAAGCCTGGCCAACATGGTGAAACCCCATCTCTATTAAAAATTAAAAATTAGCCGGGCATGATGGTGGGCACCTGTAATCCCAGCTACTGGGGAGTCTGAGGCAGGAGAATCACTTGAACCCAGGAGGTGAAGGTTGCAGTGAGCCGAGATGGTGCCACTGCATTCCAGCCTAGGCGACAGAGAGAAGCTTCGTCTCAAAAAAAAAAAAAAGAGAAAAAATGGTCCACAATAAAATAACAGGCGGTTATTGTACCTGAATTTATCAGTAAAAAATTGAATTTTTTCTTTTATTGCCTAGAGTCCACCTTCTATCAATGTCACAAGCATGACACTCAGAACAGAGAGGAAAAGATTATATTTGAAGTCCTAATATAAATTTAATTTACCATATTGAAGTATAAGTATTTTAGAGTTGCTTCATGAATTTTTTGCTAAAATCTAAAAAGAAAACCCACAAAAAACCCTAAATGTAATGACGTTAATGCAGTTCCTGACAGTGACTTTTAGCCCTTCTGCAAACTTTTGTTTCGTTGCCTTCCTGACCGTATGACGCAATGAAATTTCGATTTGCTTTAATTTCTGCTTCCTCTTTCCCTATGTTTCAGTTCTGAAGGTATGAGCTTCTCTCATCTTTTTCTTTTCTTTTACTTTGAGATGGAGTCTCGCTCTGTCACCCAGGCTGGAGTGCAACAGCCTGACCTCAGCTCACTGCAACCTCTGCTACCCATGTTCAAGTGATTCTCCTGTCTCAGTCTCCCAAGTAGCTGGATGACAGGCATGAGCCACCACGCCCAGTTAATTTTTGTATTTTTAGTAGAGACAGGATTTCACCCTGTTGGTCAGGCTGGTCTCGAATTCCTCACCTCAGGTGATCCACCTGCTTTGGCCTCCCAAAGTGCTGGGATTACAGGTGTGAGCCACCGTGCCCGGCCAGGATATTTTTTTCTTTAGAGCACTTACTTCACTTTCTTTGAGTGAAGTTGGATGGGTTACAGCCGTTGTGGTGTTACAAAGAATAATTCTGAGAGAAATATTGTTATTTGTTGGTAAAATAAAAGTGTCTTAAGTTAAAAGTTTCCTTTGAGACCCAATAAAGAAATTAGTATTACTACATAATGCATTTATTTACAAGTCTTTTTTTGCATGTCCATTGTAAATTTAATATTTTAATTTACAATGAGTTTACAAATAATTTTTACAAATAAATGTTACAAATAAAAATAATTTACAATGAGTAAATGAGTTGGAATTTATTTACATGCTTATGGCTGCCTTTGATTAAACTTCTTCCAAAAATAAACTCTGTCCAGATGTTGGGTTTTATTATACTTAATTTCATTTTAATGTTATTTCATGTGAGATTACTTGAATACAAGCTGTTGCATAATTGCTCCCAAGTGGAGTCTTTGCTGTGCACTTGCATACCCCAGAGTGGGAGGTTTGGGGATTCTGAATGGCCAGGGCAGCGTGTGGGTGTACCTTCACAGGCCTGATGTGTGAGCCTTCAAACACCGGGGTGGAGGAAGTGATTAAATAGAGGATGCAATGGTCTGGAGGCAATTTATAGCCCAGAGACCATACCTGGGGCATTTCTCTTCCTTATCTAGCACACAAAGTAGAACCGTGACACTCGGGCGTCACTGACAATGAACACAAAGGGGCTGAATGTCGGGAATCCTGCAGACGCCAGGAAAGAGGTACTTCTCAGCCATTGGCTTGGATTCTGAATCTGGGTTACGCACAATGACAAAATATCAGCTAGAGCATGAGAGGAGACAAACATGCTCACCAGGATGAGGATGGTGTGTGTGGTTGTGGTTTCATGAGATGTTCTGCGGGAGAGGTTGCGGCTGCGAACATGTTGGACTCTCTGCTTGTATCTATGCAGGACGAGGACCATGGAGCTGCTGGTGCAGATCATGAGGGAGACACATATACGGGAGACACATATACCATCTGTGCAGCAGTAAATGACTGCAACTATTACATACAGCGATCTTCCTGGATAGGGTGAGGAGCAGTATCTATACATTTTTTCCATACTCATGTTTTTGCTCTTTATTGGGTCAGTTATTTACTTTGCAGTATAAATATTTACAACAAGATTCAAGATCCAACAGAGGAAACAGCAGAAAACTATAAACTTTGGGGATCTAATTCAGAGTTCCATCTTCCCAGAGATACTGGGGTGAAGCTTCATGGCCTGGAAGCCACTGAAGAGGCAGGTGGTGCTGAGGGAAACCCCTCTGGCCACTCTGTGTAGGTAGAAGACAAGTTTACATCCAGCCTCATCCAGGAAAGGTTTCAATCCAAAAGCCGCCACTGTCTGAGGGATCCCTTTAGAGAAAAGAACCGGGTTGTTGGCTAAGACCAGCTGGCTGAGAATCAGGTCTCTGGGTCTCACTATTTGTGTGGGGACAAAAGTAAAGCTATAAAAGTAAAGGAGTAGAGAATTTCCAAGGATTCCAGCAGCGGTCTGAATGAGAAAGGTAATACTCCAATTTAAGTTAACAGAAACCATCTCCATTTAGAGGAGATGTTGGAGTTTGATTCTATTTTCATCAGAGGAATCTGTAGACTGAAAAATACAATTGAGTGTTTTCACTGTACCCGGTTTCATGCGCTTCCGTGTGAAGAGACCACTAAACAGGCTTTGTGTGAGCAGTAAAGCTTTTAATCACCTGGGTGCAGGTGGGCTGAGTCCAAAAAGAGAGTCATCGAAGGGAGATAGGGGTGGGGCCATTTTATAGGATTTGGGTAGGTAAAGGAAAAAGAGGGGTTGTTCTCTGGTGGGCAGGTGTGGGGGTCACAAGGTGCTCCGTAGAGGAGCTTTTGAGCCAGGATGAGCCAGGAGAAGGAATTTCACAAGATAATGTCATCAGTTAAGGCAGGAACAAGCCATTTTCACTTCTTTTGTGGTGGAATGTCATCAGTTAAGGCAGGAACCAGCCATCTGGATGTGTATGTGCAGGTCACAGGGGATATGATGGCTTAGCTTGGGCTCAGAGGCCTGACACCCAGAAAATGCCTTTTTCTCACGAAACTCATTATTCCAGGTGAATACAAACATTAAGAACAAACTTGTACAATTACAAAGCTATTTATTCCAAAATTATGATTTGTAAAACTACAATGACTTGAACCCACTTAATTTCAATCAAAGAAAGACTCAATAAATTCCTGGGCCTCCCCACAGTGGAGTCCTGGGCAGCTGTGGGTGAGATGAATGAGTTATCTTGAAGGCTGACCTTCCAAGACGTGTAGTTGTGTAGTTGGGGTGGCAGGGAGAAAAGAAAAAGAAAGATTCAGGACGTTATCAACAGTTAACTTTATTTTACTCAGAACCAGAGAAAAATGGTATAGTGTTATGTCATTGTGTGTGTATTTTGTAATCTATTTTTTAAAATGAAAGATTAATCAATACCTTTAAAAGTGGGTAGTTGAGAGAGAGAGAGAAAACAGTGCAGAGGAGACAGAATAAAGCTAGACTGACATCATTGTGTCTTGTTTCTTGTTTTGGTATAGAAATATAAACATACCTTTGGGAGGCTGAGGTGGGCGAATCGCAAGATCAGGAGTTCAAGACCAGCCTGGCCAACATGGTGAAACCCCACCTCTACTGAAAATAAAAAGATTAGCTGGGCATGGTGGCACACTCCTGTCATCCCAGCTACTCGGGAGGCTCTGACAGGAGAATTGCTTGAACCTGGGAGGTGGAGATTGCAGTGAGCTGAGACTGTGCCACTGCATTTGTAGGGACCAGCCCCACAGGGTCGGTGGGTCTCTCCCTGTGTGTGGTGACGATAGAGTGTAGAAATAAAGACACAAGACAAAGAGATAAAAGAAAAGGCAGCTGCGCCCGGGGGACCACTACCACCAATGCGCGGAGACCGGTAGTGGCCCCGAATGTTGGGCTGCGCTGTTATTTATTGGATACAAGGCAGAAGGGGCAGGGTAAAGAGTGTGAGTCACCTCCAATGATAGGTAAGGTCACGTGGGTCACGTGTCCACTGGACAGGGGGCCCTTCCCTGCCTGGCAGCCGAGGCAGAGAGGGAGAGGAGACAGAGAGAAAGACAGCTTACGCCATTATTTCTGCATATCAGGGACTATTAGTACTTTCACTAATTTACTACTGCTATCTAGAAGGCAGAGCCAGGTGTACAGGATGGAACATGAAGGCGGACTAGGAGCGTGACCACCGAAGCACAGCATCACAGGGAGACGGTTAGGCCTCCGGATAACTGCGGGCGAGCCTGACTGATGTCAGGCCCTCCACAAGAGGTGGAGGAGCAGAGTCTTCTCTAAACTCCCCCGGGGAAAGGGAGACTCCCTTCCCCAGTCTGCTAAGTAGCGGGTGTTGTTCCTTGCCACTTACGCTACCGCTAGACCACGGTCCGCTTGGCAACGGACGTCTTCCCAGACGCTGGCGTCACCGCTAGACCAAGGAGCCCTCTGGTGGCCCTGTCCGGGCATGACAGAGGGCTCGCACTCTTGTCTTCTGGTCACTTCTCACTGTGTCCCCTCAGCTCCTATCTCTGTATGGCCTGGCTTTTCCTAGGTTATGATTACAGAGGGAGGATTATTATAATATTGGGATAAAGGGTAACTGCTACAAACAAATGATTAATGATATTCATATATAATCATAACTAAGATCTATATCTGGTATAACTATTCTTGTTTTATATTTTATTATACTGGAACAGCTCGTGTCCTCTGTCTCTTGCCTCGGCACCTGGGTGGCTTGCCACCCACAGCATTCTAGCCTGGGCGACGAGCAAGACTCCGTTTAAAAATATATATATATACATATATAAACATATTCCTGAATGTCTATACTATAAAATATTTTTAAATATAACTTATAAATCTAAAGATAATACCTTAAAAAAGGAAATAGAATTGAGTTCCTATCAAATTAGGGCATTACTAAACAAGGAAGAATTATTTGTACTAGAATGTAAGCAAAATTACTTGACCATATATTTTATAATGCATATATTATTTATCATATTATATAATAAATGTATACTTTTAAATCAAATTATATATTATGTAGTGACATATAGTTAATATTATTATATAATTTTGACTATATATAGTAAAACATAAGTGAATACACCCTCAAAAATGTTTAATTCTTAAAATATGTATGGTCAAAAATTCTAAATTTCATCCTAGAGAAATAGCTGACTCCACATTCGGAGAGAAAATACAGGAGATGAAGTCAGAACTTCTTATCATGCAAGAAAGCAAAGACATCACCACATACCATCAGATTCATGTTACCTGAACATAAAGTCTATCATGAAAAGTTCCCAATGGCAAAATGTGGAATATTTATAGAATCAAATAATATAGGTAGTGTATTAAAACTAATGAATATGTTCAAAGCCTATCAGTTTACTACTGTTAAAAACAAAATTAAAAAACAAAAAACCCCTCAAATATGAGGAATGGGAAAAGAACAAAATCTCCACATCAAAAACGTGGAAATGAAGGCAAGAAGCAAGATCTCTTTTGTTTATCTGAAGTGTTACACAGGAAACATTCTTTTCTGTAGAATGTTTCTACATAATAATAAGTATAGTAATAGCTATAGTAATGTTTTTGCCTAAGAATAGCTGTAGAGTTTTTGCATAATAATAGTTAACCCTGCAAAGCTTGGATAACCTGTGCGTTGAGTATACAAGCAATAAACATCAATGGCTGACAAAACCCTTAGGCTGAAGGTTGATAGTGAATATAATAACGAGTGGATCCTGCTGATAGTACAGCCATCAGTACAGAATTGCAAGGTGGAGAATGCAAGACACAAGCAAATGAGCCATTGTGTCTCACTTCTGACATTTTCTAAGCATCTTTTTCACCATACCCTCAAATCTAGACCGTTATCTGGCTGGGCGTCTCTATGTTTCTTGGATTTGTGTGTCAAACTCTCTAGCGAGTTTAGGAAAATATTCATGGACTATATCCTCAAATATATTTTCCAAGTTGCTTATTCTCTCTTCCCCTTTCAGGAATGCTGACAAGTCATACATTTGGTGTCTTTAGATAATATCATATTTCTCAGAGATTTTGTTCACTTTTAAAAATATTTTTTCCTTATATTTGACTGATTTGATTCAAACAAGTCTTCAAGCTTTGAAATTCTTTTCCTCAGCTTGGTCTATTCTGCTGTTAATGCTTCTCATCGTATTATGAAATTCGTGTCATGAATTTTTCAGCTCGAGAAGTTCAGTTTGGGTGTTTCTTAAAATTTAATCGTTCATGTCATTAATCATTTTACTGGATTGCTTGGCTTCCTTGGATTGAATTTCAACTTTGCTCTTGATTTGAATGACCTTCCTTGCCATCCAGATTCCAAATTCTACGTTTGTCATTTCAGACAATTCATACTGATTAAGAACAATTTCTGGGGAGCTCGTGGACTGGTTTGGAGATAATAGGAGTTATTTCCCTGATTTTTTTTCTCATCTGGGAGGGTTGCTATTCCTTTCATTGCAAGGGTATAAATTGAGTATAGTCTGTTGGCTTTATTTCTGGAAGTTTTCAGGGGACTAAGGCTCTGTACAGGGTCTTTGCTGAATTCTTGCTCTTGGTTTTCCAGGCGGTAGAATTTAGTAAAGTGATTTTTGGTGTTGTAGTGTGGCTGTAATCCAGTAGATGGCGCTTGAGAGCAATAGGCAATAGACAGGCTCTTACTCCACTGCGTGGTGCCTTTGTTTATCTTTGTTCTTGACCTTGATACTTTTGAAAAGGTCAGAGCAGTTTTTTTGTTTTTGTTTTTTGAGACAGGGTCTCACTTTGTCACCCAGGGTGGAGTGCAGTGGCACGATCTTGGATCACTGCAGCCTCAACCTTCCCAGGCTCAGGTAGGTGACAGAGCAGGCAAGTTAACTTAAGGCCTCCTCCTTGGCAATCTGGTCTCAAGTAGGGGACAGGTCCCCACAGACAGAACTGAGGGGCAAGTGTGGCATGGGCTCCAGACCCCGAGCACTGGAATTAGACACCTCTCCTTTGCAGAAAGGTTTAGCCTTTCCTCAAGCGGTTCTGCAAAGGAGAGGTGTAGCTGGGGTGGCGTGGGCAATGGTGGTGGCAGAGTTTGTGTGAAACTTGTCTCTTCCCCAATCACTGTCACTTGTTTCAGGAGACGTTGTAATGTGCTGTATGGTTTGACCTCCAGGCCAGTAGGTGGCAATTGCTGGTGAGAGCCAGTTGTAGCGCTGGCAGTGGGCTTTATGCTTGACCTTTGTTAACCAGAAGCATTCAGGTATCCTAAGTGATGGGTTGGGTTGTGGAAAACTCAGTGGTCTTGATCAGTACTCTGCCTCCAACGCAGGGAAATGAAGGTAAGTGTGGCTGGTCCAGGCAAGCCTGTACTCAGGCCCAATGCTAGGCACAGGCTCCGTCCCCACAGAGGCTACATGTGTGGTTCTCAGGTCCCTGGAGAGACACTCAAGCACTGAGTAGGGCAATGACTATTATGCCAAAGTTACAGCAGAGTTCCCCAGAGGGGCACGTTGGGTTCCAAGCCTAGAAAATGACAGTGGGACTCACTTTAATCTAATGCTCCCAACCCAGCAGAGCTCCTCCCTGTGGCCCAATGCTGGAAGCAATTTCAGACCGTCAAATCACATGCGGTTTGATGTCAGACCACTCAACTACCCCAGGCCACAGATCTTGCCTCCTGGGTAAAATCCATGCCTCTCAGGCTACAACTTTTCCCCCTCGGTTCTGTCAAAGAGAGGTGTCCAACGCCAGTGCTTGGTGTCTGGAGCCCATGCCACAATTGCCTCTCAGTTCTGTCCATGGGGACCTGTCTTCTACTTGAGCCCAGATTGTCAATCTCTGGCCCAAGACTCTCCGAAGTAGTGACCCTCACCCATGTTTGATGTCAAGTTCTTTTTTTTTTTTTTGAGACGGAGTCTCGCTCTGTCGCCCAGGCTGGAGTGCAGTGGCGTGATCTCAGCTCACTGCAAGCTTCGCCTCCCAGGTTCGTGCCATTCTCCTGCCTCAGCCTCCCGAGTAGCTGGGACTACAGGCACCCACCACCGTGCCCGGCTAATTTTTTGTATTTTTAGTAGAGACGGGGTTTCACCGTGTTAGCCAGGATGGTCTTGAACTCCTGACCTCGTGATCCGCCTGCCTCGGCCTCCCAAAGTGCTGGGATTACAAGCATGAGCCACCACGCCCAGCTAATTTTTTGTATTTTTAGTAGAGACGGGGTTTCACCGTGTTAGTCAGGATGGTCTCGATCTCCTGACCTCGTGATCCGCCTGCCTCGGCCTCCCAAAGTGCTGGGATTACAGGCGTGAGCCACCGCGCCGGGCCGATGTCAAGTTCTTGCACTGCCCACTAAGGGTTAGGATCAGGAATGGCCTCTTTCTGTCAGCATCCAGGTCTGGGAGCACACATGGAGCACTTCCCTGGGCCCTTCCTTTTCACAGTCCTCCCGCTGTTCCCTAAGTCAGATCCAGGGCTTAGGTCGGTCAAAGAGCTCCCCAGTGGCCTGGATTGCCTGGCTCCCCACTGAGAATGGGTATCATGTGGTCTCATAACTTCCCTCTCAGGCACTGGAAGTTCACTCATGGTTTTCTGCCAGGTCTTGCTGCATGAGCTGCTGCCTGCCTTCTTTTTAGCAGTATCTGAGATTTCCTTCACTTTCATATTCAACTCCTGTATTAGTCCATTTTCAGGCTGCTGATAAAGACATACCCGAGACCAGGTAATTTATAAGAAAAAGAGATTTAATTGACTCACAGTTCCACATGGCTGCAGAGGCCTCACAATCATGGTGGAAGGTGAAAGCAACATCTCACGTGGTGGCAGGTACAGAGGAAATGAGAGCCAAGCAAAAGGGGAAACCCCTTATAAAATCATCAGCTCTTCTGAGACTTATTCACGACCACAAGAACAGAATGGGAGAAACTGCCTCCATGATTCAGTTATCTCCCACCGGCTCCCACAGCACGTGGGAATTATGGGAGCTACAATTCAAGATGAGATTTGGGTGGGGACACAGCCAAACCATATCACCTCCCATGTTCTTTCTTGGATACAAGAATGCAGAATGAATCTCTACACACCATTTTGGTATTTTCACCATCTCGGAAGACATAACAGTGTATTATATCCTTAAAAATCACTATAAAAGTAGATTTTAAGGGTTCTTACCACACAAAAATTAGAAATATGGAAAGTAATGTATATGTTAATTAGATTGATTTGCCCAACAGACAAGTATATATATTTCAAAACTACATACTTTACACAATAAGTATATACAATTTAGGAATTTTTCTTTTTTCTTTTTTTTTTTGATGGAGTCTCACTCTGTCACCAAGCTGGAGTGCACTGGTGCGATCTCGGCTCACTGCAATCTCCGCCTCCTGGGTTCAAGCGATTCCCCTGCCTCAGCCTCCCGAGTAGCTGGGACTACAGGCGTGCACCACCACGCCCGGCTAATTTTTTGTATTTTAGTAGAGATGGGGTTTCACCATGTTGGCCAGGATGGTCTCGATCTCCTGACCTTGTGATCCAAAGCTGTGTTATGAACATGAAGTTCTAAACACATTTTCTCATATGTTCACACATGTCTCATTCCAGCCTCAGTGCTCATGGGGTAGGATCTCCTTACCTGAGACCACAAACCCTGGGGGTCCCTGGGGTGTGAAAACAGGTAGGGGGAGGTACTCTATAAGACATAGCACCTGTAGGTCCTCCCAGCATTCATGGAGAATTCAGCCTGTACTGCTGAGCTTGGTACTTTGATATTAGACACAAAGGTAGGGATCTGCTGCTCCCTTCTTGGAAATAAGAAAAGTGTCACTGATGTAGCAGGACCATGTTCTTTCCTGAGGCCACCATGGAGCCCGGCTGCACCAACAGGGAATATCCCTCAGGCACCTGTCCTAGAGAGAGGCAGGATGGGTGAGGGGCTGCCCCCACCTTGTTCTGAGCAGAGACCTTCCCAGGGCTTCTCTCTAGGACCCTCAGTCTCTCTGTCATTCACTGTTTCCTCTGAGTCTCTTCCTCTCCCTCCCATCCACCTTGCCCCTCTGTCTCTTTCCCTCTCTAAAGAACCTTATCCATTGACATGGTTTGATTGTGTCCCCACCCAAATCTCATCTTGAATTGTAGCTCCCATAATTCCCACGTGTTGTGGGAGGAACCTGGTGGGAGATAATTGAATCGTGGAGGCGGTGGGTGGTTTCCCCCATACTGTTCTCCTGGTAGTAAGTCTCACGAGATCTGATGGTTTTATAAGGGGAAACCCCTTTCACTTGGCTCTCATTTCTTTCTTGTCTGCCACCATGTGCCTTTCACCTTCCACCATGCTTATGAGGTCTCCCCAGCCACATGGAACTGTGAGTCCATTAAACCTCTTTTTCTTTATAAATCACCCAGTCTTGGGGATGTCTTTATCAGCAGCAAGAAAACAGACTAATACACTCATCATGCTGGTCATCACCGCCTGCAGATCCCCAGCAGGCCCTGTGCAGAATCTGGGTCCCTGAGTGAACCTGCTGGACCCCTCACCTGCAATAGCATATCCAGGGGATTCAGGGGACCAAACAATCAGAAAAGACATTGTGGGCTCGGTGCGGTGACTCACGCCTGTAATCCCAGCACTTTGGGAGGCCGAGGTGGGTGGATCACCTGAGGTCAAGAGTTCAAGACCAGGCTGGCCAACATGGCAAAACCCAGTCTCTACTAAAAATACAAAAAAAAAAAAAAAAATTTAGCCAGGCATGGTAGTGTATGCCTGTAATCCCAGGTACTTGAGAGGCTGAGGCAGGAGAATTACTTGAACCCAGGAGGTGAAGGTTGCAGTGAGCTGAGATCGTACCACGCACTCCAGCCTGGGCAACAAGAGCGAAACTCCATCTCAAAAAAACAAAAACAAAACAAAACAAGAAAAGAAAAGAAAAGACGTTGCGTTTAGCACAGCATCTGTCCTGGCTCCCATGGGAGCCACTCCAAGGAAACGTCAGCCTGACGGAGCCCAGCCTGGGGCTGCCAGCCATGGTGCCAGGGTGGTCATGTCGCCTCTCCTCAGACAGGAAAAGTCCTTGGTGGCCAACATCAGAGCAACACTGGAAGGTCAGACTCTCTCCAGAGATTAGGAGGGGCCCCTGTTTGGTCCCGTGCAGGGAGTCCTAGACACACCTAGAGGGAAAGACAAGTCAGGACTTTGGGGGCTGACTCCCCTCAAATACATCCCTTGTCCTCCTGGCTCTGCAGATCTCACCATCACTTATACTCTGTGTCTCTGGCCCCAGAAGCCCTCGTTCCCCTCATTCCACCCTCACGCTTGGGACTTGCCTGGGAGCAAGATCCACAGCAACCTGTCTGATGCTTCAAAGAATGTTTGGGGTAAAGATGGGACTTCCTCACCTGAGAACAGGAGCTTCAGGGAGTTGCTGAGGTCCGACCACACCTGAAGGGTGTTCTGACTTCCTCACCTGAGAACAGGAGCTTCAGGGAGTCGTTGAGTTCCGACCACACCTGAAGGGTGTTCCTGTTATTGCCATGACATCTGAACATCCATCTGTGGCTGAGGGTCTTGGGGCCCACAGGAAACAGAGCTTGGGACTGTCCACTAGGGTGTTGCTGAGAGTCTAGGGTGCAGGAGAGACTGAGTTCTCCTTCCTCGGTCAGAATGAATCTGTCCAGTTGCAGCCATGAGCCACGCTGGAGAGTCCTCTCCTAAAGTTGCAACAGGCTCAGGGGGGCTGAGAAGGTAGATTTTCTGTAGAATCCTAGGAGAGAAGGAGGTAGTGTGATCCTTGAGGCTCAAGCCTCCCACCTTATCCCTTAGGGCTGGGCTGTGAGGGAGAGACACCCCTGAGAGCAGACCCCTTTCCTGAGGGCAGAGCCTGGGGCTGGGACCCCAAGGTGTCCTCCCACCTATCACCACCAGCTCCAGGGAGTCAGTGAGCTCTGGGGCTGAAATAGTGACAGTAATATCATCCTACATATTCATTTGTCATGGATATGATGGGGGAACTCGGCCTTGTCTCCAGGCTGCAGTGGGCTCTGTCTGTCCCAGGACACTGAGCTTCCCTCTTTTTTTTTTTTTTTTCTTTTTTTTTTTGAGACGGAGTCTTGCTCTGTCACCCAGGCTGCAGTGCAGCGGCGTGATCTGGGCTCACTGCAAGCTCCGCCTCCTGGGTTCACGCCATTCTCCTGCCACAGCCTCCCGAGTAGCTGGGACTACAGGCGCCCACCACCACACCCACCTAATTTTTTGTATTTTTAGTAGAGACAGGGTTTCACCATGTTAGCCAGGATGGTCTCGATCTCCTGACCTCATGATCTGCCCGTCTCAGCCTCCCAAAGTGCTGGGATTACAGGCATGAGCCACCACGCCCAGCCCCCTCTTTTTTTTTTAGTTGGAGTCTTGCTCTGTCACCAGGCTGGAGTGTAGTGGCACAGTCTCAGCTCACTGCAAGCTCCGCCTCCCGGGTTCAAGTGATTCTCCCACCTCAGCCTCCCAAGTAGCTGGGACTACAGGTGCACACCACCACGCCCAGCTAATTTTTGTATTTTTAGTAGAGACGGGGTTTCACCATGTTGGCCAGGATGGTCTCGATCTCTTGACCTCATGATCTGCCTGCCTTGGCCTCTCAAAGTGCTGGGATTACAGGCATGAGCCACCGCGACCGGCCCTGGGCTTCCCTCTTTATCCAATCGGTACTCCTGGGCCTCCAGGTTCCCCTGACACCAGAGGGTCACAGGCCTCTCCCAGGTGATCACAGAGCCTGTCTCAGCCCATGGGGAGGGTTTGGGGAAGGGCCCTGAAATGGAACCAGAGGCTGGGTCCCAAGATCTCTTTCACTCCTGGTTCTCTAGTTTAGTCCAAAACCCCTCTCTGTTTTATCACCCTCAGCCCAGAACAACTGTGCCCCCCAACCTGAGAGCCCAGGGGCTGGAGTAAGAGGGAGGCTCGTGGAGAACCTGGTAGCCCCTTCTCCCTCCATCACTGACTGAGGCAGAGAAGCACGAACACCGTGATGCCTGCTCTGGGGGCTCCAGCTGTGGGAGAGGAGACCACAGGGCCCTCCAGGACAGACAGACACACGGATGTGGTCACTCAGAGCCTGCTGCTGCCCGTCCAGGTACCCACAGCTGTGGACCCACAGGAAGGGAAACTGCTTTTCCCTGGGCCTGGCTCTGGTTTTCCCTGGGTGGGGGAGCTCAGGAGGACCCCAGACTCTCTGGACACATGAGCCTCTGCTCCCCTCCCCTGCCCCAGGTCACCGTCTCTGCTGCAGGTGGGACAGGACAGGCCCCTGTGGAATCGGGTCTGGGAGTTTCCCTGGGAGGCCTCCTCTCCCAGGAGGTCACAGCTGGGAGTCAGAGCTGAAAGGAACTTTCCCACCCGCAGGCCTCTCTCCTTTACACTTGGAGAAACTGAGGCCCAGGCAGAGGAGGGGCCTGTCCACATCACCACCTCCAGAGGAGCCTCAAACCGATGACAGAACTCAGCCCTTCCTCCCCTGGACCCCGCCCACCTCCCACTCAAAGCCCCTCACTTAGCACTGTGGGGGCCTGACGTTGTGGGGGTGAGGGGCTGGTCCTCAGGGCCTGCTGGGTCAGGATGGGGAGGTGAGGGCTGGGGCTGCCCTGCTCCCCACGTCAGCCCGGCTGCTCCTCCCCAGGCTGCGCCCCAACATCTCTCTCTGCCTCGACCCCCGCCCCTCACCAGCCCAGCCTCAGAGCCCCGGGGAGCCTGTGGCCCCTCCTCTGGCTCTGCCTCAGCTCCCTGGAGGGAAGCTCGTGCTTGAGTCCTTGAGGGGAATGGGATCATCTGGGAGACTCAGGACTGCCCTGGGGGAGGCCACCCTCCCTCTGAGCCCAGAGGCCTCAATGACTCACCAGGTATGGAGAAGGAGCCTATGGGTGGAGGGCTGGGGCCCCTGGAGGGTCCTGGGAAGGAGCACAGAAAGGGAGTGAGGAATTGGAGCTATCCTGGAGTCCCCACCTCCACTCAAAGCTCTCCTCTCCATCTGCCCAGTGGCCTCTCCAAGACCCTCCCTCTTCCCACCTAGCACCTTCTGGACTCCAGGTGAAGGAGAAGAGGGAGAACTCCTGTTGGCTTCTTCTCCTCTGAGGGGTGAATTCCTCTGTGGCTGAGCCTCCCTCAGAGCCCCCTTCACTCCATCTCTGCCCAGAGCTCTCCTGGGGGCAGGGCCTGAGCTGAGTCTTTGAACTTAGAGAGGACAGGGTCAGGGCCTTTCACCCAAGACCACCAGCTCCGACTGCGGTGTGATAGCAGGTAGGGGGAGGTGCAGTCATGTGAGAATCTTGAAGGTGCCCATGAAGGGAGTGTTTATACCACAGTCATCAACAAATTCCACAAATAAATGCTTTTTAGAAAACTTTTTTGTTGTTGTTCAGGAAGCCAGTCTATGCGCACAACAGCAGGCTTTTCCATCAAACACTTCTCTTTTGATTCCTAGTGACTGTATCTCTGGAGAAACTACAGATGAAGAGTGACAGGTGGTACAGCATCACTTTGAACTTAGATTTTCCAAACACGAATCTGATTTTTGCCCATGGATTTAATTATCAAAAGCAAATTCCATGTTATGAGCTGAAGAGATAGTCCCAGTAATACACATTAGAAAATGCAGTAGTTAGAAATAAAGAAAGGTGTATTACCTGAAAGTGGAGCAGAGCATGAGGTCACAGAGGGGCGGACCCAAACCCACCATAGGGGTGAAGCCTTACATCATAGGGAAGAAAAACGAAGGAAGGGGCAGTCAAGGAGAGTCGACAATGAGGAGGAAAGCACCACAGTTTAATGGAGGAAGCATCTTCTACAGACACCCAGACATCTTCCTGCACCTGACCCATGCTTCTTCCCCTTGATATTCTCAGCAGACACTTCCCCAACTGCTGCCCCAGTCTTCCAGAACCTCCTCAGATCATCAGATCTGTTCCCAAGGCTCCACCACTCTGAAGGGTGCATTGTCCTTTCTGCTGTTTGCCTCCTGGCTGCACCTTGGGGGGCTTCTCTGGCTGTGCTGAGCCTCAAATAACAGAATCCCGAGGAACAGCAGGACCAAGCCAGCCACACCCATGCGGATGAGATTCTCCACTGTGTAATCCTGGAGGTGTGGGGCTAGGGATGGTGGACAAAGAGGTCACAGAGGTCAGGGCAGATCACAATTACCAAAGACCCCTGGATGTCCACCCAGGGTACCCACCTCCCCTTGACAGGACCTGACCCTCTGTGCCCAGCCCCATAACTGGGAGAATCTCCTCACTCACCAGTCTTGGAATCTGACTTCTTTTGTGCTGGATTGAGGGTCTCAGTTGCTCCTAAGAATCAAAGAATAAGGATGTTGGTGAGAAGCTGAAGAGCCTCTCCCCTGGGCAATGCATTCTTATATTCCTCCACCTCTCATGGTGTGACTTTATGTAGATCCTTAGTGAACACATTCTCTGCTCTCACAGGCCTCCCCTGGTACGTCATTGGGTTTTTCAACCTCTCTGTGCTCTGGGAATTCAGATCTTGTGCCTGAGTCACTTTGAAACAAAGTTTACTTGAGCCCAGGAGCTCAGGATTAGTAAGAAGAATGATCCCCCAACTAGAAAGAATTGAGCTCTTGTGTGCTGTCTTGGATGTGCAATCTTGTGCAACAAGAACACAACAACTAATTCCCCCAGAGACAGAAATTTCCATTTTTCAGTGGATGAGGACCCAGTCTCTGTGGATGAGGAGTTGGTCCTCAGTCACTCTTGGAAGTCAGGAGCACAAGCAAGGGCTGGAGGCTGCAATGGCCCCCACTGTGTGCGCCTCAGACAGCTCCCCTGTGGTTTCATCATCCATTTAATGTCTTGTTAACTAATTCTTCATATAGTTAGGAAACCTACAATGTGATATACTTAAATATGAAAATGTATTCTTTTCTAAATGATAATGACTAAGTGGGACAGAAAAACATCATTTCTGCTTTTTTGAAGTATGAACCTAGATCGGAAGGTGAAAAGCAAATATTTAAAAACATACCCGAACTTAAAGTAAAATAAAAAATAAAGGCCAGGCGCGGTGGTTCACGCCTGTAATCCCAGCACTTTGGGAGGCTGAGGCGGGCGGATCACAAGGTCAGGAGACTGAGACCATCCTGGCTAACACGGTGAAACCCCATCTCTACT
Organism: Homo sapiens; assembly: GCF_000001405.40. Lineage (NCBI taxonomy): Eukaryota > Metazoa > Chordata > Mammalia > Primates > Hominidae > Homo > Homo sapiens. The sequence goes on from NW_003571061.2 coordinate 316,302, forward strand.
AAAAATACAAAAAAAAAAAAATTAGCCTGGCATGGTGGTGGGCTCCTGTAGTCCCAGCTACTTGAGAGGATGAGGCAGGAGAATGGCGTGAACCCCAGAGGCGGAGCTTGCAGTGAGCCGAGATCGCACCACTGCACTCCAGCCTGGGCGACAGAGTGAGACTCCGTCTCAAAAAAAATAAAATAAAATAAAATAATAATAAAAAATAAAAACAAATAAATATTTAAAAATCTGATGAAAAATATTAAGCACAGGATTGAATACTTGAATATATGTTTGTGTCTATATATGTACATAGCACATATATTCATATAAAATATATGTGATTAACATGGTTTATAAAATATATGTGATTAACATGCTTTGCATTTGTGTCTCTCTCAAATCTCATGTTGAATTGTAATCCCCAATGTTGGAGGAGAGGCCCAGTGGGAGGTGATTGGCTTCCCCCTGGCTGCTCTCATGATAGTGAGTTGTCACGAGATCTTGTTATTTAAAAGTGGGTAGCACCTCCCCCTTCTCTGTCTTCCTCCTATTCCAGCCATAGAAGAAGTTCCTGCTTTCCCTCCGCCTTCTGCCATGATTGTAAGTTTCCCGAGGCCTCCCCAGCCAGGCTTCCTGTATGGCCTGTGGAACCGTGAGTTAATTAAACCTCTTTCCTTTATAAATTACCCAGTCTCAGGTAGGTTTTTGTTTGTTTGTTTGTTTGTTTGTTTTTGAGACGGAGTCTTGCTCTGTCCCCCAGGCTGGAGTGCAGTGGTGCGATCTCAGCTCACTGCAGCCTCTGCCTCTGGGTTCCAGCGATTCTCCTGCCTCAGCCTCCAAGGCAGTTGGGATTCAGGTACCCGCCACCATGCCCAGCTAATTTTTGTATTTTTAGTAGAGATAGGGTTTCGCCATGTTGGCCAGGCTGGTCTTTCATTCCTGACCTCAGGTGATCGGCCCACCTCGGCCTCCCAAAGTGCTGGGATTACAGGCGTGAGCCATCGTGCCCGGCCTCAGGTAGTTCTTTACAGCAGTGTGAGAACAGATGAATACAATGATTATAGATACATATGTATACGTGGCTTTAGATATTTGTTTTTAAAGTATATATGTAACTACGTATATATTCATATTTGAGATGAGAAAGATGGGCTTACAATTTGGAAATATAAACGTGAAATTTCCAATTTTTTATGGCTGATATAAACATCAGCCCCAGCATCTTCCCCTTGTTCATGTCAGGCCTGGACCCCCGGACCCCAAATCCCGCTCAGGTAGGGGAGGACAGACCTGACTCCTCCACCTATCATTGCTGCTCCCTTCTTCCTGCCTGGTTCTAGGACACCTCCCTCCCCTCTGACCACCACAGAGGGAACACCTGCTCCATCCTCAGAGCCCCAGGAAGCCACGTGGACCACGCCCTTATTGTCCACTCTCCCCTCTGTTCCTCTGAGGAACAGACCCCTTTCCTGAATATTGGAGATAAGGTTGAGATGAGTCTAGAATATTATACTGGGTCAGAGTAACTGCGCTTTCATCTCCCACGGGGTCAGGACTTAGAGGCTGGGGACACCCAGATGTTGATTCTGAGATGGAGACATCAGGAAGGGAGCAGGTGGGGCCTCCGTCTTCCACCCTCAGTCTAATCTCATCTCCTCCAAGGCTCACCCCCACCTGCTTGCAGCCCTCTCCACTCTTTACCCTACTGAGACTTCAGGGGTGGGAGCCCAGGGTGGGAAGTCCTCATCTATTTCCACACTCCCATAGGCTGGACCTTCCCCTCGGTGGGAGGTTCCCATGTATTTCCACCCTTCCATGGGCTGGGCCCTCCCCTGTGGACCCTCCCCCTTCACTGTCCTGTTTTCTTAGTGTCCTGAACTCTCCTGGGGGCAGGGCCTGAGCTGAGAGAGGCTCCGGGCTCACAAAGGCCGGGGCTGATGGAGGAAGAAGTGGGGCAGCAAGTGAGACAGACAGACGGACACTCTCTTGGAAGCTCTCCTTTTTCATTTCCAAGAACCCCTTTGAGCTCAGAGTGGACAGGGTCAGCGCCCTCACCTGAGACCACGAGCTCCAGGGGCTCACTGGGGTGAGACAGCAGGTAGGGGTTGGAGCTGCGTGAGCCGTAGCACCTGTAGGTCCCCGCGTGGGCTGAGGTCACAGGACTCATGGGGAATTCAGCCTGGTACTTATGAGCTCCGTACATTGATCTCAGACGCAACGGGGGATGGGCTGCCCCCTCCTTGGTCAGAAGGAAAGTGAACATCGGGTCCCATGACTGACACAGCAGGGTCACCTTCTCTCCTGAGGTCACCGTGGGGCCCGGCTGCACTGAGAGGGAGGGTCTGTCAGAGATCTGTCCTGGAGAAAAGAAGGACGGGTGAGGGGCTGCCCCACCTTGTTCTGAGCTGAGACCTCCCCACCAGTCCTCTCCCTGGGACCCTCAGTCTGTCTCTGTCTTCTCTGAGTCTCCCCCTCCCCGCCCATCCCCTGTCTCTGTCTGTCTCTCCCTCCCTTAGGACCCCCACCCCTCATGCCGGCCATCACCACCTGGGCTCCCCCAGCAGGGCCTGTGCAGAGCCTGGGTCCCCCTGACTGAACCCGCTGGGCTCCTCACCTGCGATCAGGATGTCCAGGGGGTCACTGGGGGCCGACCACTCGGAGGAGACGTTGTGTGCGCCGTAGCATCTGTACTGGCCCCCGTAGGAGCGGCTCACAGGGCTCAGGGTGAAGTTGGCCTGGGAGAGCCCAGCCTGGGGCTGCCGGCCAGGGCGCTGGGGGAGGCCATCGGCCCCCTCCTTGTACAGAGTGTATCTGATGTAGCCGACATCAGAGCCACACTGGAGGGTCAGATTCTCTCCGGGGGTCACGACAGGGCCCTGCAGGGTCAGGAGGGAGGGCTTCCTAGACACGCCTGGAGGGAAAGATGAGTCGGGACTCGGAGCGGCTGGTTCCTCCTGCGCCCCTTCCTTCTGTAGCCTTCCTCACTAGGGTTTCCAGCGTCCTTGTTTTTTTCTCATTCTGTATTTGTGTCCCCAGGGCCCCCATCTTCCCCTCATCTTTTCTTCTTGCGTGGGCTAGCCCGAGGGTAAGGCTCCCAACAGCTCACCTGGTGCCCTGACTTTGTATAAGGAAAAGCTACGGCTTCCTCACCTGACACCAGTAGCTGCAGGGGGTCACTGGGTTCCGACCACACGTATGGGGTGTTGTTTTCATAGCCGTAGCATCTGAATGTACCCCTGTTGCTGAAGGTCAGGGGGCCCATGGGGAACAGGGCCTGGAACTTTCCATGGTTGTGTTGGTGTGAGTTCAGGGTCCAGGAGAGCCTGTGGTCTCCTTCCTCAATCAGAGTGAACCTGCCCAGTCCCAGCCGTGAGGCACACCGGAGGGTCACGTTCACTCCTGAGGTTACCACAGGGCTTGGCAGGGCGGACAGGGTGGGTCTGCTGTAGGCTTTCAAGAGAAAAAAAGGCAGCCGTGTTTAAATGGGGCTCACACCTCCCACCTTATCCCACAAGGCTGGGCTGTGAGAAGGGAGACCCCTCGAGAGCTGAGAGCCGACCCCCTTCCCGAGGGCAGAGCCTGGGGCTGGGACCCCTGAGTGTCCTCTCACCTGTCACCACCAGCTCCAGGGGGTCGCTGGGCTCTGACCAGCCTGCAGGGCTCTGATAGTAACAGTGATATCGCCCTGCATGTTCCCACATCATGGATGGGATGGAGAGTTTGACCTTGTTTTCAGACTCCAGTGTTTTTAATATGTGCCTCGACATTGAGTTTCCCTCTTTATCCAGACGGTACCCCTGGGCCTCCAGGGTGCCCTGACACCAGATGGTCACGGGGTTATGCCAGGTGATCACGGGACCTGGCTCGGCCCACAGGATGGGTTTGGGTAGGTTTTCTGGAAGGAAATTACAGGTTAGGTCCCAAGATGTCCTCAACCCTCAGATCCCAGCTCTCAGCCCCAGGACCCCCCTCATCCCCATCAGTCAGCCCAGAACTGCTGTCTTCACCCCCAGCTGCCCAGGGGTGGTCCCTTGTCCCCAGAGAGGAGGAGGGACCTAGGACAGCTGGGGACAGACTCACCTGCCTGCACCCGGGTCCTGGGGCCCAGGCTCAGCCCTGGAAGAGAGTTCCCTGTGAGAGATTTGCCTCCGAAGCCTGAGCAGGTCTTCTTCTTTTCCTTGAGCCCCTGGGATGCCCTAATTGACTAAGGCATGGCTATGGATTGGGGTCTCTCTCCTAGACTAGGGTCTCTCCTCCCCCTCTTAAGATCTCACCAAAGAAGAGCAGGCTTGTGAGAATGAGGGTCATGGCATCTCCTCCTCCTGGCCCTGGCTGTGCAGGCAGGTGTGGCCACGGTGCCCGTAGACACAGACAGACACATGGTGTGCGGGCACACGGAGGCTGGGTCCTCCCCATCACGAGGTTGTCCCATCAGCACACCGACAGAAAGAGGAACTGCCCCTCCCCAGGACCCTGGCTCTCATTTCCCAGGGCTTGTCCTGGGGGTGAGCACCAGGCTCTCTGCCGATATTTCAGACACAAATGGGGATTCACAAGGGGGTCGTTAAGAAGGACATTTTCGGCCGGGCGCTGTGGCTCACAGCTGTCATCCCAGCACTTTGGGAGGCCAAGGTGGGTGGATCACTTGAGGTCAGGAGTTCGAGACCAGCCTGGCCAACATGGCAAAACCCCGTGTCTACTAAAAATACAAAAATGAGCCGGTCGTGGTGGCACATGCCTGTAATCCCAGCTACTCGGGAGGCTAAGGCGGGAGAATCACTTGAACTCCGGAGGCAGAGGCTGCAGTGAGCCGAGATCACGCCATTGCACTCCAGCCTGGGCAACAAGAACAAAACTCTATCTCAAAAAAAAAAAAAAAAAGGACGTTTCCATCTCTGTGTGGCACAGAAAAGGAAGTCCAGGGTCCTCACAGACAGGGAGGAACCTAGGGCTCCAGGTGAAAGTGAGACGCTGTGGCTGCCCCTCTTCTGTGTTTGCACATGGGCACTGCCATCTCTCTGCTTCCTTGTGGGAGCCATGAGGGGCAGAAAGAGGAACTGCCCCTCCCCAGGAGCTTGGCTCTCATTTCCCCAGGGCTTGTCCTGGGCGTGAACACCAGGCTCTCTAGAGATATTACAGACAGAAATGGGCTCTCCCCTCACTTTGGCTGCATCTATCTAATCTGTCCTCATCTCACCAAGGGCCAGGATGTAGCAGCAAACAGACCCGGTGCCTTCTTGATTCAGCCCCTTCCAGGTGAGAGGGACTGATGGTTCCTCCTTCCCTCTCAGAGCCTCCCCATGGAGGAGGCTCCATCTCCCCTGTGTGTGTGTGAAAAACAGGCTGTCTGTGGTATTGTCACACCTGGACATCTGTCCCACACGTGAGTGGGAGGTCACATTGGACTCCGCCTTGCCAGCCACAACTTTGGGCAGATGCTAAGTTTGGAAGAGTTGATGCTCCTGGACAGGAGCAGCTGTAACCACCCGCTCTGGACAGGCCTGATTTCTGAGTCGTCTCTGGGAGAAATGTTCTTTGTAAGATCATGTGCATGGGGGTAGATGGACAGCATGCAGTGTATTTGAGAAGAGATAGACAACTAGAAATTATGTAGGCAGATGTGGCTGTGGTGAAAATAGTAGGTAGAATTAACACACTTAAAAATCAATTCTATGGCCGGGCACGGTGGCTCGCACCTGTAATCCCAGCACTTTGGGAGGCCCAGGCGGGCAGATCACTTGAGGTCAGGAGTTCAAGACCAGCCTGGCCAACATGGTGAAACCCCGTCTCTATACTAAAAATAACAAAAATTAGGCTCATTTTTGAATCCCCTTAAACATTACCAGCCCCTAAATGTCTGCTCTATGGATTCTTCTTTGAATTCAGTATTAACATCTTTCCCGTTCCCTCGTTAATAGTAAGCTAAATAAAAACTTGTGTCCATTTTATCCTTCTAGAAGAGCAATTTTTTTTTACCTTTTTGAAAAAAAAAACTTTACCAAAATATATTTAAGATCAAGAATGCTGGTCATAAGCTGTGAAAATCTATGTCTTGTCTTAATCATTCCATCAGCATAAAAAATGTAGCAATGCATGTGAAGTGTTGGTTCCAGGCAAACCTGCTTAAGACTCAATGTTCAAGGTTGTTATTAGGTGGGGGCCATATAGGCATAATGGTCAGTCACAGGGAAACCAGGGAAAAGCTGCTGTTCATCAGCATTTTTTTTTTTTTACAAACTCATCAACAGTGAGCTACATTGTTTGCGGAAATGGCCTAGTCAAGACACAGTAGAATTCAGTGCTGCAGTCACACAACACCAGCTTATCTCTTAGGAACATAGGGAACATTCCAGGAGCCATGTTTAGGAACTAGATGCCAGCTAAGGACCAACTTTACAAGCAAACTCTCCCAACGTTATCACCCTTGCAGCTGTGAGATTAACTCGTTCTTGCACACCCTGTACCTGAAAAAAATAATAGTCCTCTTGAATGCAGCAGCACCTTGTTCACCCGGAACATGCCTCCGCTCCTCCAGATTCTTCCCGCCCTATCTCAGTTTTTTTCTGCAGATTCTCCAAGGTTCTGCAAACTGTAAGCAGTAAATCCACACTCAACTTGAGTTTTCATGAGGGAAGCCGTCTGGGGCCTTCTCTGGCTGTGCTGAGCCTGAACGAGCATCCCCCAGAGGCCACCGGGATCAACACAGCATGGTCATTGGGATGAGATTCTCCATGGCAGAGGCTGGAGGGGCGTGGTCAGTAGACAGAATGGAGCATTTGCTGAGGGCTAGACTGGCCACACTCACCTCGGAAGCCCTGGATGGGTGTTTACACATCTACACTCTGGAAAGGGGAGTCCCAGTTATTCCTCACTATGGGTCTATACTTGGTGGAGGTTGGTTGAGAGGATCAGGGACTCTGTATGCGTCTGTTCTCACTCTGCTATGAAGAACTACCCAAGACTGGGTAATTTATAAGAAAAGACGTTTAATTGACTCACAGTTCCATATGTCTGGGGAGGCCTCATGAAACTTACAATCATGGTGGAAGGCACCTCTTATTGGGCGGCAGGAGAGAGAATGAGAGTGGAGCGAAGGGGGAAGCCCCTTATAAAACCATTAGATCTCATGAGAACTCACTCATTATCACGAGAACAGTACAGGGGAAACCGCCCCCATGATTCAATAATCTCCACCTGGTCCTGCCCTTGACATGTGGGGATTATTATAATCCAAGGTGGGATTTGGGTGGAGACACAGAACCGAACCATATCAGACACCTATGAATAAGAATGAGGTGGGGCATGAGTAGCCAGACCACCATTGTATCCCCCGACCAGGGCGTATAACCCACCATTGTATCCCCCAACCAGGGCACGTAACCCACCATTGTATCCCCCCCAGGGCGTGTAACCATTGTATCCCCCCACCAGGGCATGTAACCCACCATTGTATCCTCCCCACCTCCAGGGCATGTAACCCACCACTGTATCCCCCCACCAGGGTGTGTAACCCACCATTTTATCCCCCTCAGGGTGTGTAACCCACCATTGTATCCCCGTCCAGGGCCTGTAACCCACTATGCCCTGGCTCCTTCACAACTCTCCTCCCTTCTCATGGGAGAATTGTATGAGATCCTTGCTGACCCCAACTCCCAGCTTGGGCTTAGAACCCTATGGTCCCTTCCTCAAATATGTTCAGGTTCCTGGGCCTTGTTGAAGTCACAGACAACTTCTCAGCTGCAGAGATATTGCGGGTTTGGTTTTACAACAACTCAGGGACAGAGGACAAAAATCTCCAACCTCTGGAATGCTTAACTCTGCTATTCCCTGGTCTCAGATTAGTCCCAAAATTAGTTAAACCTAAGCCTCACGCTTTGACCTCTAGTAATGCGTCAGCTGTCAGTATGGAATCCATAGATCTGCATGTGGGGCTCCTGGTGTCCCAGGGCCAGGAATATGAAGCAGCCAAAGGCTGTGACTGCCTTTTCTTTTCTTTCTTTCTTTCTTTTTTTTTCTGAGATGGAGTCTCGCTCTGTTGCCCAGGCTGGAGTGCAGTGGTGCAATCTCAGCTCACTGCAAGCTCCGCATCCCGGGGTCACGCCATTCTCCTGCCTCAGCCTCCTGAGTAGCTGGGACTACAGGCGCCCGCCACCATGCCTGGCTAATTTTTTGTATTTTTAGTAGAGACGGGGTTTCACCGTGTTAGCCAGGATGGTCTTGATCTCCTGACCTTGTGATCTACCCGCCTCTGCCTCCCAAAGTGCTGGGATTACAGGTGTGAGCAACTGTGCCTGGCCTTATTTTTTTTTTGGTCAGGGAGTCTTGCTCTGTCGCCCAGGCTGGAGTGCAGTGGTGCGATCTCAGCTCACTGCAACTTCCGCCTCCCGGGTTCAAGCGATTCTGCTGCCTCAGCCTCCTGAGTAGCTGGGACTACAGGCATGTGCCACCATACCTGACTAATTTTCTGTATTTTTAGTACAGATGGGACTTCATGTTAGCCAGGATGGTCTCGATCTCCTGACCCCATTATCCGCTTGCCTCGGCCCCCCAAAGTGCTGGGATTACAGGCCTGAGCCCGGCCCCCTTTTCTTTTTTTGTACCTCACTCAGCTCTCTGCATTCTCTGGTTCAACTTAATAGTACTACTAATAACCCAAGTAATAATCTCACTATTCTTCTGTCCATTTATCTGTTTTGTTTTACAATTAATGAGAGAATAGTCATAGATTCCAAGTAACTTTTTCAGGAATAAGAAACACTATAGTGAACAAAACCTCCCATTGTTCATTCAATTTGTAATAGAAATGGAGAAAGTCAGATGAATTAAGCAAAAATACAAAAGAGATGAACTATTATTTAAAAACAACACACAGAGGCATAAATGCACAAAATTTAAGCCACCTAGAGGTCTTGAATGTGTGTTGCCCTTATAAAAAAAAAAAAAAACAGTGCCAGCCTGGCCAACATGGCGAAACCCCATCTCTACTAAAAACACAAAAATTAGTTGGGTCTGGTGGTGGGCACCTGTAATCCCAGCTACTCAGGAGGCTGAGGCAGGAGAATCGCTTGAATCCAGGAGGGAGAGATTGCAGTGAGCCGAGATCTTGCCACTGCACTCCATGCTGGGTGACAGAGGGAGACTCTGTTAAAAAACAAAACAAAAACAAACAAACAAAAAAAAGCAGTGAGTACTAGGGGCAAAGATCACTTAACCCAGTTTGTCATTAAAAAAAATGTTTTTGAGGATGTGACAGGTTAGGTAAAGACTGAACAATGAGCAAGAGGAGGATCCAGAAAGGTAATATTGCCCAACATAGGAGCAGATGATTGCGGTATTTTGATACCAGAAAATGCAGAAATGTTCCTAGTGTGTCTAAAATGTATATGAGAATGAGGAAACGGAAAAAGTGGTACAGAGCTGTATTTCCAGATGTGCAAACAGACGTATGAACATCGACATGTGCAATCAATTGTTAACTGAAAATCAATACAGAAATAAAGTGAGAAATAAAAACACTTATCTGCAATACAGCCATGAGTCTCAGAGCACGGCGTGTGGAGAAATGTACATACACGGGGTGTCTCTGAGAGGAAACAGAATAAAGAGGTACTTGATTGCCTCTGGAGATGGAAATTGAGAAGATGGGAGCAAGGATCACCTCTATGCCCGTTGGTAAATATATGTTTGTGTGTGTGTTTCTTTTTTTTGAGGGAACAAGGATCACCTGTGTGCCCACTGGTAAATATATTTGTGTGTGAGTTTTTTGTTTTGTTTTGTTTTTGTTGTTGTTGTTGTTTGTTTGTTTTTTTAGATGAAGTCTGACTCTTATTGCCCAGGCTGGAGTGCAGTGGTGTAGCGCGATCTTGGCTCACTGCAACCTCTGCCTCCCAGGTTCAAGTGCTTCTCCTGCCTCACCTCCCGAGTAGCTGGGATTACAGGTGCCCGCCACCACGCCCAGCTAATTTTTTGTATTTTTAGTAGAGACGGGGTTTCACTATGTTGGCCAGGCTGGTCTCAAACTCCTGACCTCAGGTGATCCACCCTCTTTGGCTTCCCAAAGTGCTGGGATTACAGGCATGAGTGAGCCCGCACCCGGCCTGTATTTTTTTGTTTGTTTGTTTGTTTTCAGTAGAGATGGGGTTTCACCATGTTATCCAGGCTGGTCTTGAACTCCTGACCTCAGGTGATCTGCCCACCTCGGCCTCCCAAAGTGCTGGGATTACAGGGGTGAGCCACCCCGCCCGGCTGTATCTGTGTTTTTATATTGCATGAATGAACATGAAGAGGATAAATCGGCTTTACTGGGGGAAATGAATTTCAGGAGAACGTGAGGAAGCAACAGATGGAGATCACTGGTGGGCGAATTGATCTGGTGAGAAATGACAGGTGCTTGGATCAGGTTGATGCAGGAAGTGGAGGTCATGAGGGTTTTGAGATATGTGTGTGATTAGAGTCATCAGAACTTGAAGAACCTCTAGATTCGATTTTCAAAGTGAAAGATCTGCGAATGGACTCATCTTTTTTTTTTTTTTCAAGATGGACTCTTGCTCTGTTGCCCAGGCTGGAGTGCCACGGCGCGATGTCGGCTCACTGCGAACTCCGCCTCCCTGGTTCAAGCGATTCTCCTGCCTCAGCCTCCCGAGTAGCTGGGACTACAGGCGCCCACCACCACGCCCGGCTAAATTTTTGTATTTTTAGTAGAGACGGGGTTTCACCGTGTTAGCCAGGATGGTCTCGATCTCCTGACCTCGTGATCCGCCCGCCTCGGCCTCCCAAAGTGCTGGGATTACAGGCGTGAGCCACCGTACCTGACCCCAACTTTTTTTTTTAATCAAGTGAGTGAGAAGAGGATTCATCTTTTCTTCAAGCCTCAGAAGTCCAGGTGATGATTCTGGTTAGAAAGAGCTGTCCGTGGTCGGGTGCGGTGGCTCACGCCTGTAATCCCAGCACTTGGGGAGGCCGAGGCAGGTGGATCATGAGGTCAGGAGTTCAAGACCAGCCTGGCCAAGAAGGTGAAACCCCGTCTCTCCTAAAAATATGAAAAGTAGCCAGGCGTGGTGGCGGGCACCTGTAATCCCAGCTTCTGGGGAGGCTGAGGGAGATAATTGCTTGAGCTCAGGAAGCGGAGTTTGCAGTGAGCCGAGATCGCGCCACTGCATTCCAACCTGGGTGACAGAGCGAGACTCTGTCTCAAAAAAAAAAAAAGAAAGAAAGAAAAAAAAAAAGAAAGAAAGAGCTGTCCGGAGTTAAATTCAGACCAGAGGCTGGGCGCGGTGTCTCGTGCCTGTAATCCCAGCAACTTGGGAGGCCGAGGCGGGCGGATCACAAGGTCAGGGGATCGAGACCATCCTGGCTAACACAGGGAAACCCCGTCTCTACTAAAAATACAAAAAATTAGCCGGGCGTGGTGGCTGGTGCCTGTAGTCCCAGCTACTCGGGAGGCTGAGGTAGGAGAATGGCATGAACCCAGGAGGCAGAGCTTGCAGTGAGCCGAGATCGCGCCACTGCACTCCAGCCTGGGCGACAGAGCAAGACCCCGTCTCAAAAACAAACAAACAAAAAAAAAAAAACCCAAAAAAACACACAAAAACAAATCCAGACCAGCAGTGATTTTCCCTAAAATGAGAATCCTGAGATAGGAGCTTCCGTACTCATCACAATTGGAGTCAACTTTCACGCAGACCTCAAGGTGTCCAAGTACTTTCCATATAAGTGTTGCTGCTAAAAATAAAATAATAATAATACAAACTCCAGGCCTCTTGGATTCTAAAAATGGGAGTTGTGTATCTCTTTTTTCTCCAAATTTAGCCTGGCCTCTCATGCTTGAGTTGTCTACAGCAGCTTCCATGAGTTCCCAGTGTGGTTGAAATCATAAATATGCCTTCTCTTTCATTTCCCTTTTTCACATCCCCAAACCCACGTGGTGGTTCAGCTGGGGAGCTATATTTCCTTGGGGAGGAAAGTAGCACAGTGGGTGTCATACCCAGGGGAGATTAACTTTCGGGTCCTGTAGTTGCCCCTACCAGGGTGAGAACCTGGTGCTCATAGAAACCTGCTCAGAAAATCGCTTTCTTGCTTTTGTTCCTTCCTCCACACAATGGCCACAGTTACTGGTGGAGACAAAATGTCTGGAGTGGACTGGAGTCCAAGAAAAGGTACATCGGGCATTTCCTCGCCTAGGAAGTCACTGGCACAGAAGTTCAGAAATGAGCGAGATTTTGAAAACAAGAATAGGCCGGGTGCGGTGTCTCACGCCTGGAATCCCAGCACTTTGGGAGGCCGAGGCAGGCACATCCTCTGAGGTCAGGAGTTCAAGACCAGCCTGGTCAACATGGGAAAACCCTGTCTCTACCAAAAATAAAAAAAAATTAGCCGGGCGTGATGGTGCAGGGCTGTAATCCCAGCTACTCTAGAGGCTGAGATGGCAGATCTCTTGAACCCTGGAGGTGGAGGCTGCAGTGAGCCGAGATCGCGCCACTGCACTCCAGCCTGGTAGACAGAGCAAGACTCCGTCTCAAATAAATAAATAAATAAATAAATAAAAAATTAAAACATAAAAAAATAAAAATTTTCTCGGGGAGCTGACTATGAGAAGGCAGAAATATGTTAATATCTCCAGGTGTCTGTCTGGGGTGTGGTGGGTGGGAAAAAGGCGGAAGTGGTTTCCTGTAATGAATTTGCTCTGTAGGAAGGAGCCATGTTTTTTGGCGCTGGGGATGTTAACTTAGTCCTGGTCATCAACAACATGAACATCAGGCAGAGATACTTGTGTCTTACTTGGAGGAAGATTCAGACCCGGAGAAGGATTTTGATCAGGGAAGAGTCAGCTACAGATAAGGTTGGGGCTATGAGAATAATAGATGTCAGCCTGGAGTGAGGGTTTGGAGAAGAGGACCAGGAGGAGGCTGATGTGGTGGCACAGACAGGCTGTCTTCAGTCTCCAGTGAGCTTGCACTGTGGGAATGGACCCGGGGACGTGGGTGAGGAGGGCTCAAGGGTACAACTGCTTGGATTTGTTCACTGTATGTGAAACAAAAGTGAGTGAGCAACTAGGGTCTGTTTCACTCTCTGCCTTAGTTTACTGGAGGAACGAATGGTGTCATCCCAGGATGAATGATCCCGGGGAAGAACCAGGCTAGGGAGATATTTATAAGGCTGTTCACGGAGTGCAGAGGAAGCACTATCTCCCTCCTGGCCCTGCTGTCTAGTTTTGTTTCTCCCAAGCACTTCTTCCCTCCGACTTTCTTAATTCTATAAGTAGCAGCACCAGAACGCGATCATGTCTGTTGCAGAGATGTGAATGGAGCTGGAGGTCATTATCCTTAGTAAACAAACACAGGAACAGAAAACCAAATACCACATGTTCTCACTTATAAGTGGGAACTCCATCAAATCTCCAAGTCATTTACAACCTCTTCTTCCCCTGTCCATAACTCTTCATTTGATACCGTGAATTCTGTCTCCATGCTTTGGGCCAAAGCATTCACTGGAAGAAATTCCCAAGCTTTGGTTTAAGGCATGAGGGTTCATACTTACTGTCAGTTGACCTTCAGCAGGTGACATCCTCCCCTGCCCCATCCATTTTCCTCGTTGTAGGAAGATGGTAATTAACCCTCCCGTCAAGTTTTTTTGTTTTGTTTTTTGTTTTTTTTTTTCCTGACAGCGTCTCATGCTGTCACCCAGGCTGGAGTGCAATGGCACGATCTCTGCTCACTGCAACCTTGACTTCCTGGGTTCAAGCGATTCTCCTGCCTCAGCCTCCTGGGTAGCTGGGATTACAGGCATGCACCACTGCCAAGCGTGTCCATGTGAAGAGACCAGCAAACAGGCTTTGTATGAGCAATAAAGCTTTTAATTCACCTGGGTGCAGGTGGACTGAGTCTGAGAAAGGAGTCAGCGAAGGGAGATGGGGAAGGGGTTGCTTTATAGGAGTTGGGTAGGTGAGGAAAATTACGGTAAAAGGTGGTCATCTATTGTTGGCAGAGGAGGAGGTCACAAGGTACCTGGTGGGGACATCATAAGACTTATTATCCAGAAGAAGAATGTCACAAAGTTGATTGATCGGTTAAGGTGGGGCAGGGACAAGTCACAGTGGTGGAACGTCGTAATGTTGGTTAATCAGTTAAGGCAGGAACTGGCTGTTTTACTTCTTTTGTGGTTTTTCGGCTGCCCCAGACTTCTTGGCTCCTTCAGGCCATCTGGGTGTATATGTGCAGGTCACAGGGATTACAATAGCTGAGCTTCAGCTCAGAGGCCTGACAACCACCACACTGGCCAATTTTTTTTTTTTTTAATTTTTAGTAGAGACGGTTTCACCATGTTGGCCAGGCTGGTCTTGGACTCCTGACTTCAGGTGATCTGCTCGCCTTGGCCTCCCAAAGTGCTGGGATTACAGGCGTGAGCCACCATGCCTGACCTAAACCTTTAAAAGTGGATACTTGTGTGAGAGAGAGAAACCATGCAGAAGAGATTAAATAAAATTAGACGGATATAATTGTGTCTTGTTTCTTGTTTTGGTTTAGAAATATAAGTGTATTTTCTTGAATAGATATGATGCAAAAATATTTTTAAATATAACTCATAAACTTAAAGATAAAACCTAAAGAAAAAGAAAATGCGGTAAAACAGGTGGGAGGGGAAGCAGGAAAGGCAGGCACACTCGTGTAACTGTGATTGAAAGAAAATCTGTATACAAGTGGACCTGCACAGTTCAAACCTGTGGAGTTCAAAGCTCAACTGTATGTTACTGCAAATGATTATAAGTGCTGTTATAGAAACATTCAAAGACCAGAAAAGGACCACAATGGCTGACCACACATAGCCAGGAAGAGCTTCTCCCACCGAGAGACCAAGCCATCAAGAAGACCAGAATGCTCTGGGCAGATCTTCTGAAAGAGGGCGCTGAGGGTGGATGGAGAGAGGACACAGATCCTGAGGATGGATGGAGGGAGGACACAGATCCTGAGGATGCATGGAGGGAGGACACAGATCCTGAGGATGGATGGAGGGAGGAAACAGATCCTGAGGGTGGATGGATGGATGGAGGACACAGATCCTGAGGGTGGATGAATGGAGGGAGGACACAGATCCTGAGGGTGGATGGAGGGAGGACACAGATCCTGAGGATGGATGAAAGGAGGACACAGATCCTGAGGGTGGATGGAGGGAGGACACAGATCCTGAGGATGCGTGGAGGGAGGACACAGATCCTGAGGATGGATGGAGGGAGGACGTAGATCCTGAGGGTGGATGGAGGGAGGACGCAGATCCTGAGGATGGATGGAAGGAGGACGCAGATCCTGAGGGTGGAGGGATGGAGGACGCAGATCCTGAGGATGGATGGAGGGAGGATGCAGATCCTGAGGGTGGATGGATGGAGGACGCAGATCCTGAGGATGGATGGAGGGAGGACGCAGATCCTGAGGATGGATGGAGGGAGGACGCAGATCCTGAGGGTGAATGGATGGAGGACGCAGATCCTGAGGGTGGACGGATGGAGGGAGGACGCAGATCCTGAGGATGGATGGAGGGAGGACGCAGATCCTGAGGATGGATGGAGGGAGGACACAGATCCTGAGGATGCATGGAGGGAGGACACCACGCCCAGCTAATTTTTGTCTTTTTAATAGAGATGGGGTTTCACCATGTTGGCCAGGCTGGTCTCAAACTCCTGACCTCGTGATCCGCCCGCCTCAGTCTCCCAAAGTGCTGGGATTACAGGCGTGAGCCACCGCGCCTGGCCGGCTTTCTTAGTCATGTTTAATTTAACGAAAATTTTATAATGATCTGAAATGTAAATGGTTTTTAAAGAATTCAAATTAGGATGCATCAAAAATAGGACTGTCTTTATTGTTGAAAAACATTGTATTTCTTTAATAATGAACAACTTATTAAGTTATGATGTGATTTAACTGGTATGAAAATTTGGGAAATTAGAATCTTGGTAAAGTACAGATTAGTTAAAAGAAAAAGATGCTTTAGAAAAATCAAAGACATTTCCGAAAGAATGTACAATAATCAATAGCAGTTTGGCCCCAGTGTTATAGAGGATGGGGAGAAGGTGGAAGAATGAGAAAATAACACGCATTTCACGTAGTATATGTGCACAAATCTTTTTCTTTTGTTGCGAAGAAAATGTTTTATCACAACAAATGTAATAAATTTAGCAACTTTGTTCTGGAGATCAATCAATAAATCCAAATAGGAGAAGGAGGAGGGGTCTGTAAAAGCAGAAAGCAATTTCAGAAATGAATATATATAGTGTACTAAATAAATTGAGCTGGATGGTAAATAAAGGCAACAAGAAAATATCTGTGAATCCTAGACCAGCTGTGATGATGGCTCTGTATGCCCTTAAATAACGGCAATAATTCATGAAAAAATAAAGACCTTGTCCTTTCTTTATCAAAGTGATTTATTATTTATTTATTTATTTATTTTTTAGAGACAGAGTCTCGCTCTGTCACACCCAGGCTGGAGTGCAGTGGCTCGATCTCAGCTCACTGCAAGCTCCGCTTCCTGGGTTCACGCCATTCTCCTGCCTCAGCCTCCCGAGTAGCTGGGACTACAGGCACCTGCCACCACGCCCGGCTAATTTTTTTGTATTCTTAGTATAGACGGGGTTTCACCGTGTTAGCCAGGATGGTCTCGATCTCCTGACCTCGTGATCCGCCCGCCTCAGCCTGCCAAAGTGCTGGGATTACAGGCGTGAGCCACTGCGCCCGGCCCAAAGTGATTTTTATGGAGGTACAATTTAGGACTAAATGAGGCACATTTTACTTCTTGGAACGGCAACAGGAAAATTCCCATCCCGCAGCTCTCACAACTCAGATCTTAGCAATTGGAACAGAACAGGTTGTCACTGCTGAAGGACCAAGCAGAACAACGGTTTCAGGAAGCTTTAGCTCTAAATCCCAGTAGATGTAGAGCAGGTGCAGAGCTCTGGGGACTCTCAAAGCACTTTTAAATCTGGTTAAGTGTCAGAATTGCATTTAGACATCAACACATTTATATTCCTTGATTCTTTCTTCTCCCTAAGACTTAAACATATAGTCACCTTTTATCAAAAAGATATTTTATTTGTTTAAATGGAAGATATAGTTTACTTTCTTCACACAGATGCCAGAAATTTTCTATGAACGTAAAATCTTTGGTGCAATCAAGTGCATACTGCTTCCCAGATCCTACAAGAAAGGAGATTAAGGTGTAGAATTTTACACTCATCACAGAAAGTTTTCAGAGACTAACTGGCATCACCAACCAAAACACAACATGCTATCACCACAACTATTTTTAAATGTCTTAAGTAGTAGTTTCCATTGGACGGCAGGTGTGTAAGCAGGAGCCAAGAGTGAAACACGCTCTTGCTCCTCTTCCTAGCAAGAGAGCAAAGACTGTGAGGTTTGGTGTATTCATCCAGAGAGAGTGTTTTAAATGGGGCTATGACAGAGAAGGTAGACAAGAGGTGTTGGGCAGCCCTGGACACCCTCAGAAAATATCCCTTCTTCATGAATTTATTTTCTATGTTCAGTTTTACACTAAAAGGTAAAAAAAAAGTTAAAAAAAAGAAAAAAAAAGTCCACCCTATAGTTTGTATAACAAACATTCTCACTTGTTCATGCTGTATTCAACGTCGAGCCCATTTTCTTTCCCCTACTACAAAATCCCACCGCTGGGGTCCTGGTACCTACAGTGATGGTTCTGAATAAAGCCCTCCTTACTCTGCTTTGATAAAGGTCACCGGGTAATCTTTCTCTCAACGCCTTGCCCAGCTGGCCCAGGGCTCCAAGAAAGGGAAGGCCAGACCCCTGGCCTCTGCCCTGGTTACTCACAGGGACATCTGTGAATATCTGCTGCTGCCCCATCTGGCCCCGGTGAGGCTGCTCCTCCCTTTCACGTTGGGCCCCACTGCAGCCTCCTGGTGTTCACCGCCAGGGCACACCCCAGGGGAACTGGGGTGGGATCATAAGCACAGGGTAGGCCCTCCCTCTCTGCCTGGCCACACTGCACTGCCAGGTGAATTAAACATGGCTCTTCCCCCAGGTGGTGCTTGGGGGCCCGTGCAGCAGGAGGGACATCTTCTCCGCACAGCAATGTTCCCAGATCTCACCACCCTGAGTTCTGGCCCCTGCGTTGGGCGGGTTGGCAAGTCAAGAGAAAAAACAAGCCCCTGCATCTAATTTTCTGTCTTCTCTCTGGGCCCTTCCTCTTTCCACTAATATGTCAAGAAACAACAGTGTGGTATTTTTGCTTAATTTCCCCTAAACTCTATCTGTCCTGCTTTCCACTGTGACCTCACCACCTGAACTTCCTGGACTTCCTTACACTGGAGCAGACACTGGCATCTGCTCAGCTCTCCTGTGCTCTGCAAGGGGTAGAAAAATTCACCCATCCTCTGCTATGTGCAGACTGTCCACCTTCTGCTATAGAGTTCATGTACCCACCTGTCAACCTCATAGTCAAACAAACAAGACGTTATGGGGGAAAACACCCGGCTGATGGTTGAAAAACAACCAGAGAAGAAAGACAGAGATGTAGAAAAAGAGACAAAGACGGCTGGACGCAGTGGCTCACGCCTGTAATCCCAGGACTTTGGGAGGCTGAGGTGGGCAGATCACCTGAGGTCGGGAGTTCAAAACCAGCCTAAGCAACATGGAGAGCCCCCCGTCTCTAACAAAAATACAAAAAATTAGCCGTGTGTGGTGGTGCATGCCTGTAATCCCAGCTGCTCAGGAGGCTGAGGCAGGAGAATCGCTTGAACCCGGGAGGCAGAGGTTGCAGTGAGCCAAGATTGCGCCATTGCACTCCAGCCTGGGCAACAAGAGCGAAACTCCATCTCAAAGAAAAAAAAAAGAGAGAGAGAGACAGAGAGACACACAGTGAGAGAGAAAGACAGAAAGAGAGACAGGGACAGAGACAGACAGAGCAGGGAGAATGTGTCCCACGTGAAGAACAGGGAAAATCGGTCACAATGTTCACACAAGAAAGCAAAGATACAGAGTACAGCACTGGGAAGCAGATCCCAGGAGGAAATTAAACCTGAGCACAAATAGAAAATTAAAGCTCAGTACAAATTAAAATTGGGTAGGCCAGTCAGGTACCACCCTCTTTGAACCAGCACAGAAACCTCCCAGCAGACCGAGCTGCAGCCCATCCCGGGGTTCATAATGTGGAGTCAGGAGCCTCAGGTGGGTCTGAAGCCCCTGTCTCTGAGACTTGGCCGACCTTGGACAGGTTACTTCATGTCTCGGTCCATAGTTTCTGTTTTTATAAATGAGGAAAATAATAGAGCACGCTGTGGAGGGTTTGTAGGAGAATTTAATGTGTCCACGTTTGCCTAGAACTAAATTAGCAACTGCCCCATAGAAAGAGCTGGCTGAGTTTTTGCTGAATTCTTAAAAATCTTTCTTTTCTTTTCTTTTTTTTTTTGACGGAGTCTCGCTCTGTCGCCCAGGCTGGAGTGCAGTGGCACCACCTCGGCTCACTGCAAGCTCCGCCTCCCGGGTTCACGCCATTCTCCTGCCTCAGCCTCCCGAGTAGCTGGGACTACAGGTGCCCGCCACCACGCCCAGCTAATTTTTTTGTATTTTTAGTAGAGATGGGGTTTCACCGTGTTAGCCAGGATGGTCTCGATCTCCTGACCTCGTGATCCGCCCACCTCAGCCTCCCAAAGTGCTGGGATTACAGGCGTGAGCCACCGCGCCCGGCCTGTTTTTGTTTTTTAAAGACAAACACAGATTAACCCAAATGAGATTCTGCCGCCTCCTAGTGGTACATAGGGTAATTTTCTGTGTCAATCAGTACATCTGACCCTACAGGTAGGGTGGATACTCAGAAATGCCTCAACCAACAGCAGGCTCAGTGATTCCTTGGATTTCCTGGGGCGTGTGAGTGTATGTGCATGTCTGTGTGTGTGCGTGTGTGTATGCATGTGTGTGAGAGCATGCATTCCTGTGCATGTATGTGCAGATGTGGACCTGTAGGGTCGGCTCTCTGCCTTCACCCAGCCACACCTCCCTCATTCATTCCTGATACACGTGATTTGTCAGAAAACACTGACACCAATGTGAAGTCCTAAGATGAGCAAGTTCAGAATATCTAATGTATCGTATTCGTGGTGATGGGTGCGCTGAGGAATTGATTGTGACTGTCATTGCACAATGTACGTGTACGACAAATTATCACATTTTACACCTTGAATACGTACAATCCTGATCAATTAAATTTTAAAAAGAAAACGCTGACACGTTTTCGTAGGTCCTGTTTCCCTCACTCAGCTTTGAACAACTGTGAAGGCAGAGAGTGGGTCCGAGAGACCTATGCACCCAGGACCAGGCCTGGGGCTGCCAGATGTGAGGCCTTCAAAATTATTTATTGATGCGTGGAGTAAAGCACAACCCAGAGAACTGGGCTTGGCTCTCAGCTGTGTGTGTATAGCACAGTCTCAAGGCTAGCTCTTGACTTCTAGGAAGGTCTTTAGGGTCAGCAGGGCAGATAATTACAGCAAAGTCTCTGGGGTCACTGGAGGTTCACAGCAGACACCTAGGACAAGCTTGGAGGTGGCATCACTGCTCAGGAAATCGGCTGATTGGCTGTAGCTGGGCCTTTAGAACAGGCAGGTGACTTTAGCTGGGTCTCTGGAAACAGTCAGGTGAATAAAGCTGGGTCTCTAGAAACAGCCAGGGAACTGTAGCTGGGTCTCTGGAAATAACTGAGAAACAGTCTGTCCAAGGAGCTGCTCGATTGTAGAAGGGACCACCTGGCTAACGAACCTTCTGGATGCTGGTTAGAAACCTCCAGTCTCCAGCTCTTGTCTCCAGGACAGCTGCCTGGCTGGCTTTCTAGATGAAGAGGAATCCAACAGGAAGCCTTCCAAATGGCTGCTTCAGGCTTTTCCTAGAGTGACTTTCTACCCTCAGGTGCAGAGGCCAGGTGGGTATGGGGTCAGTGTCTGGCAACGGCTGCATACGTGATGGACTCGGCCATGGGCTTTGTGGACTGTGGGGACACAGCCCGGGCTGTCCTCTGTGTGAGGGCCCAGTGGTCCAGCTGAGCATACGTCACCTCCTGGGAACTCCCTGCAGCCAGGGCCTAAGAGGGAGAGACCCAGGGTGAGGGAGTGCCTGGTGGAGGGTGAGGCGAGGGGCTGTGGGGAGGGAGGGCTGTGGCGGCCATCTCCATGGGCCCTGAGGACCCTCTCCTAAATTGCATCCGTGTGAAGAGCCCTCCCACAGGGTATTGGGGTTGGTTTACGTGACAATGAACAAGGCAGAAGGGAAGACTCCTGACTTCCAAGCTGAGCCAAAAGACATGGTGCTTCTGTCCCCTCCCTGCCACCCATCCTTGGATCCCTCCCTCTGGGGGAAGCCGGCTGTGTGGAGAGGCCCCTGTGAGAGGAACAGAGGTTTCCTGCCCACAGCCGGGGAAGTGAGCGTCTTGGACGTGGATCCTCCAGCCCACGGGAGCCTTCGGATGCACACAGCCCTGGGCGACCTCTCGACAGCAACCTCAGGACAGGCCGTGAGCCGGAACCGCCCAGCTGAGCCACTCCTGAATTCCTAACCCAAGGAACTGAGATTTTTTTAAGCTGCTAAATTTGGGGTACTTTAATAACTAGTAGGAAGGCTCACCGAGGTGTCTGTCTCTCTGTCCTTCTCAGGAAGTCCATTGACTGTGGCCTTGTCTTGGGGAGAAAATACATGGTCAGTTTTCTGGGGAGGATGTCGCAAGGCAAATCTGCCTGAGACCCCCACCCCCAGCTTCCGATGACATCCTGCACCCAATGTATAATACGACCTTCTAGAATGTTCCCAAAGATTCTTCCCCCCACCCCCCACATTGCATCTGGATTGGCACCAAGTCCCCACTTCCCCATCCCAGGCCTGTCCCTCCTCCTCCCCCTTTACCTGCTGTCCTCTCTAGAACATCAACAGCCAGGTCAGGCCTAAGAGGAAAAATAAAAGTGAACCTCAGGGGCAGCCTGGCGGCCGAGGACTGGGTGGAGGTCCAGGAGTCATTCCCAGGGGCCTCACCTCTGCTGTGGCTTCTGCTCCTCGTCCTTGCTTCTGGGGGGCCCTAAGGACAGTCGGGGTGTGAATTAAGGAGACCTTCTTCCTAGCCTCTCCTGACAGCTTCCCAGGTCACCCCACCCTGCCCCTGAGACCTACCCTGCTTTATCTGATTCTGGCGATGGAGGCAGAAGAGGACCAGGAGGAGGAGACAGAAGAGGAAGACCACTGAGACCCCGATGAGAATATACAGATGCTCAGCTTTCAGGCCTTGGGAAGCAGGTGCATCTAAGAAAGACAGAAACAGGATTTCAGCAGTGTGCATTTATTGAGCACCTACTGTATACCACACACACGTCACGTGCGTTTCATAGACTTACTAATATATAAAATATCTTAGGTAAATAATAGTCCTGCAGTACAGGGATCGTTATCCCCTTCTTCCACCACCGGGGTCCTGAGTGCTGGAGTCCTCTGCACAGGGACACAGACTGCCATTGGCAGAGCAGGAATCTGATCAACCCCAAAGCCTGACCTCTTTCTCCTTCCCCAAGAGGCACACACCAGCTTCATGCTCCACGGCCCCCATCACTCACGCTCATTGTGACTGTTGTCCGACGGCCTCTGCGTGGGTCCTGGGAGGGAGGAATCAGAAGGAGGAGGAGTTAGAGTCCTGAGCTGGACAGAGAAGGCTCTGAGTCCTCCCACATCCACTGTGGGGATCTCCCTTCACTCCCCAGGACCCTGACTGCTCCCTCTAGACCAGCACCGACCAGCAGAGTCTTCTGTGATGATGGAAACTTTCTACATCTACTGTCCAGCATGAGAGTCACACATAGCTATTGATATTTAAATTTATCCAAAGTTGAATGGCATGAGAAGCTGGCTGCACCGTCTGCACCTCCAGGACTCAGTGACCCCACGGGCCTGATGCCATCCCTACTGGACGGTGCAGATACAGCGCGTTTCCTGGGCGTGAAGCTGTAGTAGACATCGCTAATTTCTGCCCTCTGCGGATCTAGGCAGAGACCAACCACCCGCAACAAGAGGAAGGGAGACCTTCCCTCCCTGACCTCCTTCTGGGTTCCCACCAGAGGGCAAGAATCCTCATGTCTGATTTTATCTGCCCTCGCGGCAACCCTCTGACGGGGATGTAACCCGCCCTCCTGTGGGAAGAATCCAAGTCCCGATGTGCTCCTCTTTCCTGAAGCCCTGCAGCTAGCGGGCGAGTGTGTGGGGCACCGCCCAGGCTCCCTACGCAGCGCATTGCAGGCCCGCCCGTCATCTCCTCCAACCTTCACCCTCCTCTGCACAGTGCACGCCACTACCCAATTCCCAGGTGGCTAAATGGGGTCCTGAGGGGCTCCCCCAAACCCAGGGTCCGAGCCAAGCGTCCCTCTTCCAGGAACAGCGGTCCCTCCCCTCCCCCGGGGCTGAGGCAGCATCTTCAATATCCTTCAAGAAAGGCAGACATTCTCTCTTGGAATGTCCTTCCCTCCTGCCTCGTCCACGGTCTAAGGTCCAGGACACCACCCGTTATTCTACACCATGACTTCCTGGGCTTGGTCTTCATAACATTTGCCACCATTTAAAATTACATATGTATTATATATGTGCAATATTACAGTTTTTATATTATTTATAGTTATATGTATCATGTATTATGCAAATGTATAATATATAACAAATATATTTTTAATTATGTAATCTTGACATATACATATAATTTAATGTATATAATGTTAATTGTATATGATTTATAACTTATAATATATGTTACATATATTCACTATAATATATAATGTATAATTTATATTTGATATAAACCTATGATTAAATATAAAATATTTTTTCTATTATAGTTATACATAATGTATACATAATAGATAATATATTTACATTAATACCTATATTTATTTATTAACTATAACACTTGAAATTTATTATACTATATATTGTAAATATATCTTTCATATAATATATAATATACACTATAGTCATATGTAGTGATACACTAACATGTTTTATTATATAATTATCTTCCTTATATATATAATATATATATAATATATATATATTATGATGTAAACATATATAATATAATTTAAATTATAGGTCTGAAATTCTACATTGCAAATCATATATTTTTATCTGTATATGCATGTATGGGAATCAGTGCATTTCTATTGCTCATTCTAACTATTTCTCCCCATTGAAGTTCACAAGACGGGAGGCCATTTCTCCTCATTCATGGTGCATCAAATCCGGAGGCTTCAGTGCCTGGCACAGTCCCTGTGAGGACAAAATACTTCCTCAGTATTAATAGGAGCATCCCTCCTTTGGGGTTTTCTAATCAGCACTGATGTCAGCGCCGTGTGTACCTGAACTCAAGTCTGCCCTAAACGATTCTACCAGGACAGCTCTTCTATTGCCTCTGTTTCACATGAGGAATTTGGGACACAGGAGGTTTGGGTGAGTCACCGTCAGGCATAGAGCCAGGAGGTGGCAGAACCACCGGGATTTGAACCATGAACCCAGCAATCTGGCTGCAGGAGGGTCTGTCCTCGTGACCTTTATATGTCACTGCATGAAGGTGAGAGAAGAGAGAAGGAAGGAGAAGAAGAGAGGGAGAGAAACAGAGGCAAGATATTCCCGCAGACAGAAGGCTAATAAAAACCAGACACTGGACTTGAACCAGGTCTGCGGGACTCAGGAGCATGTCCCGCTGTGCCCCAGCAGCCCAGGAGCCTCTGAGGGGGTCCGGATGGAGCACGGCATCGCTCCTCCCACCTCCCCATGTGGCTTCAGCCCCTGGTCCCACCTGCCTGAGCTCACAGCCCGAGCCTCACAGGCAGTCACCGGGTCTAGGTCCAAGGACGTACTCTGGGGATAGAAACCCAGGTGGGGAAGGGGCCGCGAATGGCTTATGACCCCGTGTCCTCCCCTGGGAGTTTCTGGTCACAGATCACAGGGGGAGATGGACAACTTGAGACCCAGGGACTTGGGGCAGCTTCAATCCCATCACAGAGTCCAGGGCAGAGCCAGATGGAAGGGAAGCCTCATGGCTTCATCCTGGTCACCGTTCACAGCTACGTCCCCTCCCTGTGGAGCCCTCCTCCTCTTAAGGGACCTTACTCCACCGTTCAGGCCTCCCCCGGAGATCACAGAGCCAACAGGAGCAGCCCCGTCCCTCTCCGGGTGTCCCAGGTTGGAAGGTGAGTTCTAAGTCCCTCCATCAGGTGCAGAGCGGGGTGAATGGTGAGGCCACGCCCACAAGGGGGCAGCGTGGAGCTCGGGCGAGCCCGGAAGTCTGGGGTGGGGCTGCCCGGGTGGGTGGCCCCTGCCCCTTCATGGCCTTGTGCCGTTAAGCACGAAACTTTAATTTATGTTTTGCATATTAGAGAGGAGGAGGAGTTAGAGGATCAGACTAGTACCTCCCCCATTAAGTGGTGCTTGCATTAAGTGCTTTCCACAGTTCCTGGCATGGAACAAGGTTGCAATCACTGTACCATTGCTGCTATGGTCTCTGTGAGCATTAGCGACCTCCCAGAGCTTGGTGGGTGTCGGTGCCTTCCCGTGGCCTCCCTAGACCTTGACTCCAAGCCCAGGGCAGAGGGCTGGACCCGGAACAGCATCCGCAGCACAGATTCCCCTGTAATCCCCTCCAGCTGAGGGCCCTGCTACTGACCAGCTGAGGAGCCGGGCTCTGTGTCCGGGGAGTCCGGGCCTCCAGAGGTTTCTGTAAACAGGGGCAGGAGAAGGATTTAGAACCCGTCCCAACCAACCTGCCCTCCTCCACCCTGAGCCCCCATCCAAAGGCCGCATGACCATCACGCAATCCCAGACAATGTCTCGAGACTCCTGAGAAAACGAGGCAGGGGACAGGAGGCTGGGGAGAGCCCCGCTGCTTGCCCCATTCTCCCTGGGGCTGGTCACTCCCTCTGCTCCTCCCACCACAAGCTCTTCTTGACCTCAGGGGACCTTTGAGGTCCTGGGGGGACATGAAGGTGGATTGGAGCCTCTCCAGTGGACTTTGACTCCAGGACATCTCGGGCTGAGCACACACAGGAGTGCATGTGGTCACATACCAAAGGTTTTCCCAAAGCACTGTCCCGCCCTGGTCAGGGGCCATCCCTGGACCCTGCGTTCTGCCCAGTGGGAGATGAACCACTCCAGGAGAAGCACATTGCCTGGGGCAGGTTCTGGCTCAGTGGAAAGGAATAAGCGGGACCATCCATCCCGTGTGAAAAGACACTCATCCTCTTGTAGGGGGGTTGCCCCCTAATCTCTGGGAACCCACTCCCCACCCAGCCAAGCAGAGCCAGCTCTGAGCCCACCAGATGCTGGAGCTGAGTGTCCACGCCATCCGTGGCGTCCAGAGGAGATCAGGGCTCCAGGGACCTAAGCAAGTATGAGGCAGAGGGGAGGTGTGTGCAGACGGAGAGGGGAAGGGGAGGGCTTGGCGGTCAGGAGGAGGACAAGGTTGGCCACAGAGGACAGCAGCTGGGACAGGGTCCAGGGACCTGGGGACAAGCTCGAGGGTCGAGCTGAGACTGGGGCAGGGCCCAGGTGACGTCCTCACCTTTCACCAGCAGCTCCAGGTAGTCACTCTGCTCAGACCATTTAGGGGGCTTATAATAGATGCAGCGATAAGGCCCGGCATTTCCTTCACTTACTGAGTCAATGCGGAATCTGGCCTCTGACTCAGATGGACTAGCTTGAGACACATCTTCAGTATCATTGTATGTGGATCTACTCTCCCTCTCCAGGCGGAATGTTTGAACCCCAACCGGGCCCCGGCACACGAAAGTCACATGGCTCCCCAGGGGGATCACGGTGCCTGGCTCAGCCGAGATGGAGGGTCTGGGCAGATCTTCTAGGAGGGAAGCAGAGCAGGATCTCAGCGTCCACTGTAGGAAGTCACCATGCCACACACGTCATTTTAGCATCACAATTCAGGGATTTTAGCAATTTTATAGAGTTATGCAGCCATGACCACAGCCCAACCTTAGAACATTCCCAAGCCTCCTGCACCTTCTACGTGCATGTGATTCTCATCACTGCAGAGTTTTTTCCCAGTTGACAGTGAGGACCCTGAGACTTGCTCACAACTTGGGCCTTGCTCAGGGTCATGTGGGAAGTGTCGGAGCAGCCTGGAGCCCTTCATGCCTGCTGCAGAGCCCAGGGCCACTTTCCAGAGGGACAGAGTGTGGGAGGGAGGCACAGGATGGGGATGACAGGGTCATTGGTGAAGGACAAGGGACAGAGAAGCGAGGGCTCTGGAGATGGCTTGTGCTGGGGCCTGAAGGGCACTGGCCGGTCCCCGGGTGGGACTGAGTGTGGGACGGGGGTTGCCAGGCTCCTTTGAGGGTCTGGTGGGGTGAGGGTGAAGCCCCCAGCCCTGATCTGCTCACAGCAGATGCCCAGCCCGTGACAGGTCCCCATTGCTAATGCAGATCTCTGTGGAGACACCACCTCTGGGTTTTCCTCTATAGTTTCTACTTTCTTCTCAGCCTAATTTGCATTTCCTTCTTATTAAGGCTCTTGAAAAACCCCATTTATCTCAACTGGGCTTGGGGTGGAGGAGGAAGGGCGGGTTTGACGCCCTGAAACAGGAAGGTTGTGTCAAAATTAGCAAAATCCCTGAGCGGGGCAGAGAGCTGGCAGGGCTTCAATTCACTCGTCCCGTCTTCATTCATTCCTTATTATTGACAAATTAAAACTGCATGTATTTAAGGTGTACAACATGATGTTTTGATACAGGTATACACTGTGGAATCGCTGAATCAAGCTAATTAATATAACCTCACTTTGCGTAGTTAATTGTTGTGGTGAGAACATTTAAAATCTGCCCTCTTAGTGATTTTCAAGCATATGATACATTGTGATTAACTCTAGTCATTGTGTTGCACAATCCTGAACTTACTCTTCCTGTCTAGACGAAATTTTCTATCCTTTGACCAGCATCTCCCCAAACCCACCCATTTGTTCATTTTTCTTTCTTTTAACCATATCTCAGTTACTTATCAATCTGTTTAAAGACGTTTTTCATGGGCTGCTAATTCCACAAATGTGAGAAACACACACAGGATGCCTGCCGTTTGGAGGTGGACTTCCAGAAGGGAGGACCGGTATTGATCAAAGAATTGTCCAAATCTGCAGCTGTGAACTGACAGAGTCTTGCTCTGTCACCCAGGATGGAGTGCAGTGGCGCAATCTCAGCTCACTGCAACCTCCGCCTCCAAGGTTCAAGCAATTCTCCTGCCTCAGCCTCCTGAGTAGCTGGGATTACAGGTGCACTCCACCACGCCCAGCTAATTTTTGTATTTTTAGTAGAGACGGGGTTTCCCCCATGTTGTCCAGGCTGGTCTCAAACTTCTGACCTCAAGTGATCCACCCACCTCCGCCTCCCAAAGTGCTGGGATTACAGATGTGAGCCACCGCACCCAGCCTCATTGGTCATTTTTAAAATGAATTATTTTTTTTCAAAATCAGCATGTGAGAAGAACCACCATATTGAGCGGCATATGGAGTGTTTGAGAAAGCGAAAGAACCTGGAGGAATGTAGAGATGAGTGAGCCCCAGGTCACAGGGACAGGATGTGGCTGGGAAAATGGGCATGTCCAGACCAAAGAGAGGTGCACAGGTCTGATTCTATCTGAAGATAAACAGGGGAAGGGCTCTGAGAAAAAAAAAAAAAGATTTCATCTTACGATGAGATATTAAATGAAAATTTTTGAATACAATTTAAAAACTGTGGAAAGTACAATGGTCATGGTTGTGCTTTTGCAAATCGCCAGTCCCTGGGGTCAGGAAGGGAGCAGGCAGCAGTGGCAATGGACAGGCTGAGGCCGGCCTCGGGCAGCCACGGAGGGGAGAGGGGCTGTCACCTGGGGGTGATGCAGGAAAAGTCGATGAAGAGAGAGGGAAAGATGAGAAAAATTTAGAGTGAAATCACCAGGACTGGGTGACATGGTGCATCCAGGAGGATGGAGAAGAGGATGAGTGTTCAGAGTCTGCCCTTTGTGACTGTCACGTTCCCCGCCAAGAAGCTGCCGAGTGAAGTGTGGGCTCGTCTGGGGAAAAGTGCCGGGCTCAGCCTTGGTTGTGTTGGGTTTGAATTCTCATTGTGGAAATCGGTGTGCGGAGCTGACCCCTGCACTCCCAGGGTGACCGCAGCGCTACTCACAGCCGCCAAGACCTGGCAAGAACCTGAGTGCCCACCACCAAATGAATGGATGAGGAGAATGTGCTGTGTATATGCAATGGAATATTATTCAGCCCTAAAAAAGGAAGGACATTCTGTCATTCGCAACAACATGGATGAACCAGAGGACGTTAGGCTAAGTGAAATAAGCCGGGCACAGAAAGACAATTACTGCGCGTTCTCACTTATCTGTGGAATCTAAGAAAAGTTGATCACCCGGAAGCAGAGTAGAATGGTGGTTATTGGAGGCTGCAGGTGCGGGGCATGGGAGAGACACTGATCAAATGATACAAAGTTTCGAGTAGCCAGGACGAGTGAATTTTTCAGATCTATGGCACAGCAGAATGACAGTAGTTCATAATAATTTATTGTATATTTCAAAATTGCTAAAAGGAGATTTAAAATATTCTCATCACAATAAGTATGTGATGGGGCTGATATGTTAATCAGCTTTATTTAATCTTTCCACAATGTGTACATACGTCATAATATCACACTGTACCCCGCAAATTGCAATTATTTGTCAATTAAAAATAAAATTTTTGAAAATAAGAAAAGCAAAATAAGACAGGTGGAGGATGCGAGAGAGAACTGGGTGAGGGTTGGTTATGCATTTTACATTTGGAAGAGTTTGCAATCTAGGGTATATTTAAAGGGATCTCTCCAGGCCCTCTAAGAATCAACATCACTCCCACCCAGCACTGCCCTTGGGGTGACAGAGGGGACTGGGAAGATGGGACGAAGGCATGACTTACCCTCCTGCGTGTGGATGGTCTGGGCCAGGCAGAGCACTGGAAGAGAAGCCCCAGTGAGAAAAATGCCCAGTGCCCAGTCTCCTTACGGGGCTGCTGTCAAAAGGGGGCTCGATGGAGCTGGGGGGCATTCAGCATTTCATAACGACCAAGCCAACCCTCCTCGACATCACTGTCTCCATGTAATCCTTCTTGCTGCAAAATGGTTTCAAGATAAATCCCAAAGTCTCCTCCTCCAAAAAGGCTCCTGCTCCCCCAGCCCTTCTTAAAGCTGACCTCATCCCCACACCCGGGCCCCTGTTTTTAGGACAAGATCTTCTCTGATCAGACTTAGGCCCCAGGGAGAGCAGCAGGGCAGTCTTGGGAGGAGGAGGACACTTTCCTCCCCAGAATCTTCTGGACTAGAGTCAGGCTTGAGCAGGGAATTTTCCAGACCTCCCGACCCCCTTTCCAGCCTCCCGGCTGCCTCCAGGACTCACCTAGGCCCAGGAGGGCGGTGGGGTGGGGAGACATGGCCCAGGTCCCAGCAGTGCAGCCTGGCCTGAGGCGCACCAATGCAAGGACAGAACTCTGCAGCAGACACAAGCAGACAGGATGTGCTGCCCGGGGGCCTCCTGCCTATGGGGCTTCCACAGCAACTGCCTCACACAAGAGGAAGAGCTTTCTGTCCTGTTCTTTCCACCCTTCCCACTAGTGAGACGAGAGGGAGGGCCTTGGTTTCTGAAAAATGTCGCTTACCCTAAATGTCGCTTAGAGGCAGATGACCGTAAACTAGTTACCAGATGTGTCAGCCTCTTTCTAAATCTATGGGACAAGGCAGAATAAAGGTCGGGCAACCAATTGACTTGGACGCCGTCCCAACTCCACAAGTTAACGGTCGCAGCTCTTGGGCAAGACGTTACAAAACTAGAAGCTGACATTTCCTTGTATTACAAATGGGAGCCATAGAAATCCTTCCCCAAGTTTTTAATATTGTGATCTATGCTAAAATCCCGACAAGGTATTTAACACGTTAAAAATATCCTACAAAGCATATTATTTTTTTAAGGAGACTATTGGTGAGGATGTGGAGAAACTGGATCCCTCGCATACCACAGTAGGAATTAAAAATTGGGCAATCACTATAGAGAACAGTGGGGAGGTTCCTCAAAAAATTAAAAATAGAGCTACCATATGGTCCAGCAATCCCACTTCTGGGTCTGTATTTAAAAGAAACAGGCCAGGCGCAGTGGCTCACAGCTGTAATCCCAGCACTTCGGGAGGCCGGGGTGGGTGGATCACCTGAGGCCATAAATTCGAGACCAGCCTGGCCAACATAGTGAAACCCTGTCTCTACTAAAAATACAAAAAATTAGCTGGGTGTGGTGGTGGGCACAGCTACTTGGAAGGTTGAGGCAGGAGAATCGCTTGAACCCAGAAGGCAGGGGTTGCAGTGAGCTGAGATTGCACCATTGCCCTCCAGCCTGGGCAACAACAGCAAGACTCTGTCTAAAAAAAAAAAAAAAATCAGTATGTCAAAGAGCCGTCTGAACTCCCCTGATCACTGCAGCACTATTCGCAATAGCTAAGACGTGAAAACCATCTAAATGTCCATTGATAGAATAATTGATATAGAAAATGTGGTGCACACACAGGGGAATACTATTCAGCCTTAAACAAGGAAGAAAATTCTGCCATGGGCGACAACACGGACGAAACCTGAGGACATCACGCCAAGCGACGCAGAGGCAGAGACCAAGTACTGCATGATGTCACTTACAGGAGATCTGCAAAGTCACCAGAGTCACAACATCACAGCAGGGAATGGTGGTTACGGGGGCTGGGAGGAGGGGGAAATGGGGAGTTATTAACAAACAGGCCTAGAGATCTGCTGCACCACATACGACCCATCGTCAGCAATAACGTCTTGTTCACTTGAAATTTGTTAACGGAATAGACCTCATGTTATTTGGAGGGCCCGGAGGAAGACAGGAAGAGAAGGGAATGTTTGAAACTTCTTAGAGATGGATTAAATGGTTGTGACCAAAATGCTGATAGTGATGTGAACAGCGAAGTCCAGGCTGACAAGGTCTCAGCTGGAAATAAGGATCTTACTTGGAACTAGAGCGAAAGCCACCTTTGTTACGCCTTAGCAAACAACGTGGCTGCATTCTGTCCATGCCCTAGAGATACCACGCCAGGGTGTCTGGCGGAAGAAATTTCTTTTCTTTTTTTTTAAACGGAGTCTCGCTCTGTTGCCCAGGCTGGAGTGAAGCAGTGCGATCTCGGCTCCCTGCAACCTCTGCCTCCCAGATTCAAGCCATTCTCCTGCCTCAGCCTCCCGATTAGCTGGGACTACAGGCACCCACCACCACGCCCGGCTAATTTTTTGTATTTTTAGCAGAGTCGGGGTTTCACCGTGTTAGCCAGGATGGTCTCGATCTCCTGACCTCGTGATCCACCCGCCTCGGCCTCCCAAAGTGCTGGGATTACAGGCGTGAACCACCAAGCCTGGCCAAGTCAGAAGAAATTTCTAAGCAACAAAGTGTTCAAGTGGCATGGCTTCTTGTACCAACCTAGGCTCAGATGTGGGAGCAAAGAAATTACCTAAAGGTAGAGTTTATATTTAAAAGAGAAGCAAAGTGTAAAAGTTCGAAAAATTTGCGGACTAGCCACATGGTAGAAAAGAAAAGTCCGTTTTCAGGGGAGGAATTCAAGTAGGCTGCTGGGCAACGACTTGCTGGAGAAATTTGCATAACTAAGAGGGAGT
This sequence comes from Homo sapiens, assembly GCF_000001405.40. NCBI lineage: Eukaryota > Metazoa > Chordata > Mammalia > Primates > Hominidae > Homo > Homo sapiens. The sequence goes on from NW_003571061.2 coordinate 349,002, forward strand.
CACGTGCTGTACCAAAACATCTCATCTACCCCATAAATATATACACCTACTATGTATACACAAAAATTAAAAATTTAAAAACATATATAGTGACATGAGATGTAGTGTGAAATGTCATTAAAAGATGAGTTTGCATCAGAATAGTCCAAACGTTTCAAAAACATTCCAGCATGATCACTGCCTTGCTGACCAGTCTTCCTCCTGAGACGTGGTGACAGTAATGATCACAAACTTGGATCTCGTGGACAGACAGGGGAATTCAAGCTAAACCCTGGTCCTCAAAGAGTTCTGCATGTTACAGTCCCTGGTATATCCTTCCAATCTAATCCAATTTTCTGTGAGTCCATAAGACAGCAATCCATCTAAAAAATAACAATAAACCAACTAAAACTGCTTAATATAATATGTTAAAGATTTTTTAGGCCGGGTGCAATGGCTCACGCCTGTAATCTTCTCAGCATTTTGGGAGGCCGAGGTGGGCAGATCATGAGGTCAGGAGATCGAGACCATCCTGGCTAACACGGTGAAACCCCGTCTCTACTAAAAATACAAAAAATTAGCCGGGCGTGGTGGTGGGCGCCTGTAGTCCCAGCTACTCAGGAGGCTGAGGCAGGAGAATGGTGGGAACCCGGGAGGCGGAGGCTGCAGTGAGCCGAGATCGTGCCATTGCACTCCAGCCTGGGTGACAGAGCCAGACTCCATCTAAAAAAATATATATTTTTTTTAATTTTTTTTTTTTTTTTGAGACAGAGTCTCGCTCTGTCGCCCAGGCCGGACTGCGGACTGCAGTGGCGCAATCTCGGCTCACTGCAAGCTCCGCTTCCCGGGTTCACGCCATTCTCCTGCCTCAGCCTCCCCAGTAGCTGGGACTACAGGCGCCCGCCACCACGCCCGGCTAATTTTTTGTATTTTTAGTAGAGACGGGGTTTCACCTTGTTAGCCAGGATGGTCTCGATCTCCTGACCTCATGATCCACCCGCCTCGGCCTCCCAAAGTGCTGGGATTACAGGCGTGAGCCACCGCGCCTGGCCTAATTTTTTGTAATGCCTAAGAGATATAAAAACTAAGTGAAGGCTATGCAGTCAAAAGTTAAAGAAAGATGGAGTCCCCAGCCTCAAGCTGAATACTGAACCTGGAGCTCACCTTGATGATGATGAATTAACTGAGCTTTATTTTCATGGTTTTGTAAATCATGAGGACAAGGATAAAGTGCAGGGGTACAGATTCCAAAAGCTTCCACCTCATCATAAGAATGATTTCAAATCACTCACCAACTTCTCATGGTTGCAAGGAATACTACATTTGTTTTGAAACTTAGCATTGAACATGAGGCCAAAACACAGTGGCTCCTGAGAATGACTTTCCTGCTTCTGACTCTTCTTTTACTGGCATAATGGTTTCTATGCATTAGATTATCCTCCCTGCCTCTTTTCACTTTAGGTCTTCATTAGTGATTTTTATTCAGCTTTATCAAAGGATCCTTTGCACACAAACTGCATCCACTTAATCTGTGCAATTCAGTGAATTCTGACAGCTGTGAAACCACCAACATATCCAAGATTTTCTTCACTGCTCAGAAGATTCCTCATGCTCCTTTGCCTCCATGTGGCCACTGGTTCCTTTTTGATATGTATTTGTTGACTGATTTATTTATTTATTTATTTATTTATATATTTATTTTGAGACTGAGTTTCACTCTTGTTGCCCAGGCTGGAGTGTAATGGTGCAATCTTGGCTCCCGGGTTCAAGCGATTCTCCTGTCTCGGCCTCCTGAGTAGCTGGGATTACAGGTGCGCACCACCATGCCCAGCTAATTTTGTATTTTTAGTAGAGACGGGGTTTCTCCATGTTGGTCAAGCTGGTCTCGAACTCCCGACCTCAGGTGATCCGCCCACCTTGGCATCCCAAAGTGCTGAGATTACAGGCGTGAGCCACTGCACCCGGCCGACTAATTCATTTTTTAAACACACTTCTTACCTGGGAATAAATTTAAACTTGCAAAAGAGTTGCAGAGGTACAGAGAGTTCCCATATGCCCTTCATCCAGGTCCCTCTAATGTTCATGCTTTACACGACCCCAGCACATCCGCCAAAAAAAAAAAAAAATTAACACTGGTACAATAATTAACTGACAGGCTTTCTTTGGATTTCATCATCTTTCCACTAACGTTCTTTGCCTGTGCTGGGATCCAATGCAGGGGCACCGTCCTGCATTTACTTCCCTCTCTGTTAACTGCAGAGAAGGGTTTCTGTTTTCCTGGTTGGACCCTGATTAATATTCCCCTAGTATCTGAACTCCAGGTGCCCAGGAAGGTTGGGGGGCAAGGATGTGCTGCCCACTGGGGAAGGAGTGGCTGGCAGAATCGACATCCGTCTGTTCCTCCACAATCCAAGGTCACAGAACACATGGGCAGTTATTCTGGGTTTTTCCATAAGAAGGGTGATACAGAGCTGTCGTTGTTCCATATTATGAGGACCCCTCCACCTTTGCATTCCTCTAAGACCTTTCCTCTGAGACTCTCCTCCAAGCTGGAGAAGACAAGCTACATGCTTATGTCCAAGGCATGCTGCAGATTCAGCATGGCACAGCTCCCTCACTCAAAAACGTTACTTGATGTGGGATGCACAGGCATAGAGTAGTGATTCTCACACTAGACTCAGATACATACACAATATTTGCAACTTAAATTAAACACCAATTAAATGTCAAGTGGAAAGACAACATCTACAGAAATAAAATGACACAAGATGCAATGTGAAATGTCATTAAAAGAAGAGTTTGCATTAGAATAGTTCAAATATTTCAAAACTATTCCAGCACGTCACTGCGTTGCTGACCTATCTTCCTCCTGAGATGTGGTCGCCGTAATGATCTCAAGCTTGGACCTCGTGGACAGACTGGGGAACTCAAGCTAAACCCCGGTCCTCACAGTTCAGCACGTTGCAATCCTGTGTCGTTCCGTCCAATCTAATCCAATCTCAAGGACCCCAGTTCCTGAGCAACCCTGGCTTGGCTCGGCCAAAGGGAAGCGTCTACAGAATCTGAGTCTAGAATGCCCGGAGGTCTGTACTTCTTGCTGTTTTCAGGAGATTCAACTGCAAAGCCCTCCCCAAGTCATCCACATTGGCTCACGTTTCTGTGCCCCACCCTTCCTGCCTGGGAGGACCCTTCTTGTTCAGCCAAAAAAGCAACCTGAGGGTGGTGTGGTAGCAGGGACTCACCCATTTCTCTTTCCATCTTCTGTCGCGGATGCAACCCTGGAAGGAAGACCTCAGGACGATGATCATCTTCATAGGATTCCCGACCTGTGCCTGGCTTTGTCCTGAATATTAGCCTTGGCAGCCTGGCCTGGGCTCCGATGGTGGATGAACTTGGCTTTCCACGGGCTGCCACCTCCAGCCTGCGCTGTGGAGAGACCAGGTCCTCGGAACAGTATTTTAACCTTGTCCTCCTTTCCCTTCCAGGGTTTACCAAGACATAGCGGGTGTCATAGATGTGAAAAAGCTTCTGCTATACCAGGGTCAGGAACGGAGCAAAACTGAAAACCGCACAGGATGTGGTCTGCCAGGTGCCAGCATCACAGCTCAAATCCTTAAGAAGCTCCAGCCGCAGGCACGGAAATAAACAGCTTCTCCCTGCCCTGTATACGTCTCCGATTTTACCCAGGATGGGGCTGAGGAAGCAACACAGATTCCCAAACGTTACTTTTTTTTTTTTATTTTGCTTGAGAGCCAAGGCAATATTAGACAAGCCTTACTCCCTAATTAGTGCCTGACAAGAACCATATCTCTGTCCCAATCCTTCTATTCAAAGTAGGCACAATTTGCTTTTACCAAATGTAAAACTCATGTCAAAGCCATGCTGTGAGTATTTACACCAGAGAAATCGGCAAATGCTACACGTCGGGGTTGTTTTTTGTTTTTCTTTTTGCTTTTTTTTTCAGAGAGCTGATTGTCAAGACTTTACCAGCACACTGCTGGTAAATTTCCAAAGGCCAATTTAAAGAAATTTTTTTAACAGAACATGTAAAAAAAAATCAACGTGAAGTCAACATGCTCCAGGGAAATCAGACAATTGATAAAGCATGTCTATTTCTGTAGTGTATACTCCAGCCTGTTTCCCCCTCCTACCTCAGGTACCGTAACCAGCATCTGAAGTCTTATATTCAAATTTCCCTTGCACTTTTGTAAATATAGTGTTCTCTCATCGATGTACCTATTTGGTGTGTATGTATATGTGTGTGTATATATATATATGCTATCATTTAAAAATTGTATTTATTTATTTAAGGTGGGTCACCGAGGCTGGAGTGCAATGGTGCAATCTCAGCTCACTGCAGCCTCCACTTCCCAGGCTCCAGCGATCCTCCTGCCTCAGCCTTCTGAGTAGCTGGGATTATAAGGGTGTGACCCCATACCCAGCTAATTTTTGTATGTTTAGTAGAGATGGGGTTTCGCCATGTTGACCAGGCTGGTCTTGAACTCCTGCCCTCAGGTGATCTGCCCGCCTCAGCCTCCCAAAGTGCTGGAATTACAGGCATGAGCTACTGTGCCCAGCCTCGTTTTTAATTTTAGTGCAAAGTATAGTTTTCAAAACAATGTTTGCAATGTCATCAAATATAGAATGAGCACGCATCAATGTCTTCTTAATTCATTAATGATGAAATCATCATTCAAAATTCCTGTCTTTACCCAAATATTTAGCTTCTTCTGTTGCTCTTCATTTGTTCCTGCGTTTCTCCATTTCCACTGGGATGATTTCCTCTTGTCCAAGCCTTTTATTCTGGCAACCAATGAACTTTACACTCTTTCTATAGTTTTGCCTTTTCCAGAATGTCACATAGTTGGAATCAGACAGTGGATACGCCATTTGGGCGGGCTTATTTCGTGTAGTGATATACATTGAACTCTCCTCCACATCTTTTCATGACTTGAGAGCTTGTGTCTTCTTAGCATGGGATAATATTCCATTGTCTGGACACATAGTTAATCCACTCACTTACTGAAGGGCATCTTGGTTGCTTCCAAGTTTGGGCGATTATGAATAAAGCTACTGTAAAGATCCATATGACCGTATGTTTTCAGCTCCCTTCGGTAAATATCAAGGAATGCAATTGCTGGATTACATGGCAAAGCTATATTTAGTTTTAGAAGAAATTGCCGCACTGTCTCCCAAAGTGGCTGTACCATTTGGCAATCCCACCAGCAATGAATGAGAGTTCCCGTTGCTCCACATCCTCGCCAGTAGGCCAGTATGTGGTATTGTCTGCGTTTTAGAATTTGGCCACTCTAATAGGTGTGTCGTGGTAACTTGGTTCCTAAGATACTGATAGAGGTGCAGAACACCAGCTGGGAAGTCAGCCAGAATGAGCTTCTCCTGTGACTTCCTGTCCCACAGCCTCAGAGAACTTTGACAAGCCACTTCCCCTATAAACTTGTCTTTCTTTCTTTCTTTTTTTTTTTTTTTTTGAGATGAAGTCTCACTCTGTCACCCAGGCTGGAGTGCAATGGCATGATCTTGGCTCACTGCAACCTCCGCCTCCCGGGTTCAAGTGATTCTCATGCCTCAGCCTCGTGAGTAACTGGGATTACAGGCATGCACCACCACACCCAGATAATTTTGTATTTTTAGTACAGACGGGGTTTCACCATGCTGACCAGGCTGGTCTCGGACTCCTGACCTCGTGATCTGCCCACCTCAGCCTTTTAAAGTGCTGGGATTATAGGTGTAAGCCACTGAGCCCGGCCTCCTTATAAACTTCTCTAAATCTAAATTTGTGAATATTCTTTCTTTAAAAGTCGATCAACTGGCCTGGCACAGTGGCTCATGCCTGTAATACCAGCATTTTGGAAGGTCGAGGCGGATGGATCACTTGAGGTCAGGAGTTCGAGTCCAGCCTGGCCAACCTGGTGAAACCCCATCTCTACTAAAAATACAAAATTAGAGGGGCATAGTGGCGGGCGCCTGTAATCCCAGCTGCTTGGGAGGCTGAGAGGCAGGAGAATTGCTTGAACCCAGGAGGTAGAGGTTGCAGTGAGCCGAAATCGCACCACTGCACTCCAGCCTGGGCAACAGAAGCGAAACTCTGTCCTAAAAAAACAAAATTAAATTAAAAAGCCAGTCCTGGTGTGGTGGCTCACGCCTGTAATCCCAGCACTTTGGGAGGCCAAGGCGGGCAGATCACGAGGTCAGGTGATCGAGACCATCCTGGCCAACACGGTGAAACCCCATCTCTACTAAAAAAATACAAAAAGTTAGCTGGGCGTGGTGGCGGGCACCTGTAGTCCCAGCTACTTGGGAGGCTGAGGCAGGAAAATGGCATGAACCCGGGAGGCGGAGCTTGCAGTGAGCCGAGATCGCGCCACTGCACTCCAGCCAGGGTGACAGAGCGAGACTCCGTCTCAAAAATAAATAAATAAATAAAATAAATAAGTCGATAGACCAATATTTATCAATTACCTCTTATACGCTTGGTGTTTGAGATTCAGGAATGAACAAAACAGATCCAGTCCCTGCCCTCAACCTAGCTCTTAGTGTAATGATTATGGGAACAGGGTCAAATAGCAAATCACAAATTATTTCACGACTATTGTGAGACAAGAGTGAGAGCCAAGAGTGGTGGTGCACACCTGTAATCCCAGCTCGAACCAGGGAGACAGAGGTTGCAGTGAGCCGAGATCGCACCAATGGCTTAACACAATGGGATTTGGCTTTTCACTCATGTAAATGACCAGTGCGGTTTTCTCTGGGGCAGAATTTGAATTTTCTCCCCAGGATGACTCAGGGACACCCGCTTCCTCCATTGTGCTCCCATCATGCCCTTGGGCAATGGCGTCCCGTACTTCAAACAGCAAGAAAGAAGGAGAAACAGAATATATCTGTGCACTTGCAAAATTTGCTGACACATGTCATTTCTGTCCAGAATTGTTGGCTATAAATAGTGTTATGAACAGTCACACAATGATGCAACAAGACCAGGGAAAAAGTCCCTTGGTGGGGGTAGCCACTTCCCAGAGGTTCCAATGCTTGCACTGTAAGGGTAAGTACAGAATTTTTTTTTTTTCTGGTGAGCAGCCACATATTTCTGCCTCACGTGAAAAATAATCTCAAGAAGAAATGTACCTGAGAATGTATAGCCCAGGAGCATGATGTTGTGACACCTGATTGATGGACCATGTGGGGTGATTGACTCCCCTGTACTTAGAAGGAAATCAAAACCAAAGGTTCAAGTAATATTAAAGAGAAATATTGTCATATTCCCTCTGGAACCCATGCACGTCTTAGCTAACCTGCAGAGAGGAGTAGAAACCACTAGAACTGAAGGAGGCAGCTCTGTGCAAGGGTGACGGCCTTCTCCCCTCCCAGTTCCCTTAGTTCTGGAGTTCGATGAAGGACGGGGTCCACACGGCCCACTCCGTTTCCTCTTTCTCTGAACCGGGGGTGCAGAACCTGAACCCAGACAACCCCTGGGTATGAGTCCGGCCCCAGATCACAGCTGTGGTTTTGGCTGCCGCAGTGACCTTGGCAAAGTCCTGAGTCGTTTGCTGTTGTGGGTATGATGGACAGCTGCGACGTTTTCCTGGACTCCCACTGAAATCTTTAACTTCAAGATCATCTTCTCCATCCCAACAGAACTCATCAGGCCCAGAAGGCTCCCAGCCCCAGAGGTTCCCAGAGCTCTTCAGGTGGAATGTTGAGTCTGCACAAGCCAGGATGGTGACTCTGGAGAAGTTCTCCAGAAAAGAATCAGCATCTAGAGTCTCCTGAGTTCCAGGCCCTTAGAAATTTAGACTCCAGAACCACTGCCAAAGTGACCCCCTCAGCCCAGCCCTTCGGTACCCAGCATCCACTGTCCTCAGCCCAGCCCTTCCGTACCCAGCATCCACTGTCCTGGTGGGAGTCCGCTGTGCTGCTCCAAGAAGACAGACCCTCACCATTACCGGAAAGACTGACCCTCCTGTGTCCAGGTCCTGTGGCCCAGACTCAGCTCTGGAAGAGAAATCTGGATTTACAATGCTCAGTACGTCGCTCAAAATCTGCACTCGATGACGTCTGTAAGCTCTTGGTCCCAGCCTGGGCTGCGAAGCCTGAGGCTTGGGCAGACAATGCCGTCCCGCCGTCATCTCTGCTCCCTCTTCGATCGCTAAGCTCCCACAGCATTGATCTAACCAGACATGGGCCCAGGGAGAGAGCTGTCTTCCCCACCTCCCAGCCCCAATCCCTCAATCCCTCGCCTGCCGTGCCAAGACTGGTCAAGGGAAAGTCCAGGAAGAAAGCATGGTAAGGGGCACCGTGCTGCCTGCGCCCGCCCCGCTGTGCAGAATGCAGAGGCTCAGGATGCGGTGCGCAGAGACTCAGTCCCAACCGTCTTGTGGCTTCTTACCACGTATCTCCCAGGAAGTCACCATGAGGCTTAGTTCTTCCTTCCTGTGACTGGGGTAAAGGAGAGAACTGTCTCCTTGGACATCATCATCCATACGCCCGGCCCGAACGTCATCTCTGACCCAAACACCAAATCCAGACGGGCAACCACGGCTGTGGGGTGTGGAGGGGGAATCTGAACACCAACCTGGAGGTCAGACTTGAAGGAGACGGCGACGCTGCCTTCGCCCCATTCACAATATACAACCTTCGATGGGCCACCTCCCCAGTGAGGCTTCATCAAGGGGGCTTGGTCAACTTCCTTTTTGTGTGAACGAAAACATACGTTTCCAGGCGCCTATTAAGGGCTTGAGTCTGTGTCAGAGACGAGCCACACAAGTCAACGGACCTCACAGTCTAATGTGGAGGGCACACCTCTGACTATTCAAAAGTCATATATAGCATATTAACCGTAGATTTTAACAAATTAGCCTTGAAATACCTGCAGTTTGTCACAATGGAAGGCTCACTTCTCACTGGGTGACACGTCCATATGGGGGCCCCCGGTTGGCAGTTGGAGCTCCTCCATCAGGTGACTCAGGTGCCCAGATTCTTCCAACTTTGGGGTCCAACCTCCCCTAGAACCTTGGAGTGCTCTGTTACCAGTGAGGGGAAAGAGGAAGAGAGAGTGGAAAGGGCTCATCCGTGCCTTTTAAATAAAAAATCTGAATGTGACCAGGCGCAGTGGCTCACGCCTGTAATCCCAGCACTTTGGGAGGCCAAGGCAGGCAGATCACAAGGTCAAGAGATGGAGACCAGCCGGGTGCGGTGGCTCACGCCTGTAATCCCAGCACTTTGGGAGGCCAAGACAGGTAGATCACAAGGTCAGGAGATCGAGACTATCCTGGCTAACACGGTGAAACCCCATCTCTACTAAAAATACAAAAAAATTAGCCGGGCATGGTGGCGGGCACCTGTAGTCCCAGCTACTTGGGAGGCTGAGGCAGGAGAATGGCGTGAACCTGGGAGGCGGAGCTTGCAGTGAGCCAAGATCGTGCCACTGCACTCCAGCCTGGACGACAGAGCGAGACTCCATCTCAAAAAAAAAAAAAAAAAAAGAGGTGGAGACCATCCTGGCCAACATGGTGAAACCCCGTCTCTGCTAAAAATACAAAACTAAGCTGGGTGTGGTGGTGCACACCTGTAGTCCCAGCTACTTGGAAGGCTGAGGCATGAGAATCACTTGAACCTGGGAGACAGAGGTTGTAGTGAGCCGAGATCGAGCCACTGCACCCCAGCCTGGGGACAGAGCAAGACTCCGTCTCAGAAAAAAAAAAAAATCCTACGACCTTGTGTGAAAAGGGGACTCAACCCTCAGAGCTAACTCCAGGGAAGCCACCTGCAGTGTGGAGTGGAATTGGGGCTGAGGACTGACGAGCTGGCGACAGGAAGAGCAGCTGGGGGAGACGTGGACGGAGGAGACAGCTTCTGTGAAAGCCCTAATCAGGAGACAATTTTTCCTGTTGTAAGTTGAGTGGACTCCAGATGGAAAAATAATACGAAGAATATGTGTACTGATTGAGCAGGAGTCTCTAAAAGGCCAAATAAAGTTTTGGTATTTTACCCTCAAGAGAGTGGGACAGGTTTTGAGCATAAGTATGGCATCATCATATTTTTGTCTAAAATGTATCTGTAAGACCACTTCCTGAAGTCAGAATTGCACGAAGCAAAAACAGTAAGAGGTAACGTTTTCTGAGCATTTACTTTATGCCAGACACTGCCCTGAGTCCCCAGTATGGATAGTTTACTTAATTTTCCCAACAACTTTGGAAAGGTGTTTTCATCACTAGACTCATTTTAATGATGAGAACACTGAACTCAGAGGTTAATTAGTTTGATTAGTGTCATGTATTAACATGCATAATTTCATGGAAGGAACTGGATTTCAACCCAGGAAGAAAGTATGTCCTTACCTATTATTATTATTATTATTATTATTATTATTATTATTATTGAGACAGAGTCTTGCTCTGTCACCCAGGCTGGAGTTCAGTGGCATGATCTCGGCTCACTGCAACCTCCGCCTCCCAGGTTCAAGCAATTCTCCTTGTCTCAGCCTCCTGAGTAGCTGGGACTACAGGCGCCCACCACCACGCCTGGCTAACTTTTGTATTTTTAGTAGAGACGAGGTTTCACCATGTTGACCAGGCTGATCTGCATCTCCTGACCTCATGATCCACCCACCTCGGCCTCCCAAAATGCTGGAATTACAGGCGTGAGCCACCGCACCCGGCCGTCCTTACCTATTATTGATATATCATTGTATTTCTTAAAGAAAACAAGAAAAACCAAGTGTGGATAGACCAGTTAAAAAGTTCTTGCCTTCCAGGACAGTGATGATTTGTTTGCACTGGAATTATCACAGCAGGAATTTCAGTAAATATGTGGATTTATGACTGGGAGGTAGGCTCAGAAGAAATGCTGATGGAAGTTTGGCTTCCAGAAATATCTGACTAGGTTGTTTTAGACTAAACTTCTCACCGTTAATTAAAAAAAAAAAAAAAAAAAACTTTAGGCCAGGCGCGGTGGCTCACGCCTGTAATCCCATCACCTTGGGAGGCCGAGGCAGGCAGATCATGAGGTCAAGAGATCGAGACCATCCTGGCCAACATGGTGAAACCCCTTCTCTACTAAAAATACAAAAATTAGCCAGGCGTGTTGGTGGGTTCCTGTAGTCCCAGCTACCCTGGAGGCTGAGGCAGGAGAATCGCTTGAACCCGGGAGGTGGAGATTGTAGTGAGCCGAGATCGCGCCACTGCACTCCAGCCTGGGCAACAGAGTGAGACTCCGTCTCAAAAACAAAAAAAAAACAAAAAAAACAACAACAACTGTAAAAGATGAACAAAAACCAAAGAACATCTGTCTGTAGAACTTGGCATGCTTCCAAGGCAGAGAGAATTTAGGGTTCCAAGACATAAAAGAGGAAGGAAACCAAGCAAGGGGACTTTATCCTTTGAGGTTAGTTTTATGTTAACGGTTTGCTGATTCTGAAACTAAAGGCAGCAGATGAGAGACCAAAAAGCTGAGTAGGAGCAGGATGAAGAATTTCAACAAAGAACTAGCAAATATAAGAACAAACACAGCCGGACGCGGTGGCTCACACCTGTAATCCCAATACTTTGGGAGGCCAAGGCGGGTGGATCACCTGAGCTTGGGGGTTTGAGATCAGCCTGACCAACAGGGAGAAACCCCATCTCTACTAAAAATACAAAATTAGCCGGACTCAGTGGCGCATGCCTGTAATCCCAGCTACTCAGGAGGCTGAGGCGGGAGAATCGCTTGAACCCAGGAGGCGGAGGTTGCAGTGAACCGAGATGGTGCCACTACACTCCAGCCTGGGTGACAGAGTGAGATTCCATCTCAAAAAAGAAAAAGAAAAAAAAAGAAAATACGGGACATGGTGAAAATACTTAACATATGTACAACTGGAATCCCATAAGGGGAAGAAAGACAGAGAAAGAGAAAGGCAGACACGATATTGGAAGGGTTACTGAACAATATTTCCTAAAATGAATCAAAAACATCAAGCCACACAGTAGATGTCCAGTAGGAACTTAAACCTCACGTGTTTATAACATGTTATAATATAAGTTGCTTATATTCACTCCCAAATCTCCTCCTCCTAAGGTCTTTCCCATCTCAGTAAATGAGAATTC